>NC_000004.12:109072896-109224411 GCF_000001405.40 Homo sapiens | reverse complement strand
AACTTAGAAGGATAAATAATCTTGTTCCTTTCAATGCAGTCACTTAAAGGACCTCCAGGTGTGGTTTCTCTCCAAGGCCTTAAAGGGTTCTACCCATATATTAGTGGGCAATTCCAATGACCTTTTTTT
This sequence comes from Homo sapiens, assembly GCF_000001405.40. Taxonomy (NCBI): domain Eukaryota; kingdom Metazoa; phylum Chordata; class Mammalia; order Primates; family Hominidae; genus Homo; species Homo sapiens. The sequence goes on along the minus strand of NC_000004.12, from coordinate 109,224,282 downwards.
GATATTTCCTTTCAGAGTTTTTCAGAACCTGGTTGATCAAACCCCCATACCAATTTGATTACTTTTTTCTCCTCCTCCTTCTTCTTTTTAAACACAATGATATTATTTATTATGTTTATCACTGTTATCACAAGTCCTGGCTTGGAAAAACCTGTGTTTCTTAAAATCATATGTACTCTTAAAAAATAAACAAGCATTGAGGATATTAAAAAACATTAAAAATTCCAAGACAGGAGTTCAGAGCATATTTGAAGCAATGAAGTAAATGTCAGTGTAGCTCTTTAAGGTGTTTACTTGGAAGAAGATGACATAAATTCTGTGATATATATTTCAAAATCGGTAGATATAGGTATACTTCTTAGATATGTAATTCATAAATCTTTAGGGATATCAGTATCTTACACTCAGCACTTGTCACACACTAGTTTGTATGCTATGCCTGGTTCTAAAAGACATTATTTAGTAATAGAAATAAAGGCTCTCTTCATTTAACCCCTTTATTGGTCCCTATTAGATGCAAGATGTTTTGTTAAATAATCGGCTGATTATTAAGACCTAACTGGTAAATGCAGCAGATAGGGCACACTTTCCTGTACTCCAAGGAGTTCTGACTCTACTAAGAAGCTTAGAGTACTTTAGGAAGGGAATTATCTTTATCCAAATGAAGGTCATTTCCCTTACTGTTAGGGTCAAGGTGGGGGTGGGGGAGATGTCCCCACTCACTTTCTTTCAGAACTCTTTTCTGACTTGGTTTTGGGTGCTGCCAGCTGCTAGCAGCTGTCCCCAACTAATTCTGCATACCCTGAAACTTTGGGGATATTGGATTCTAAAGTCAATATTTAAGACATAGAACTATCATTAGTGCAGTTTTTTTTGGGGGGGGGAAATGTGGAATATAATAATAATTTCCAATGTTTTCATGTAAAAATGCATCCCAACTTTCTAAGAGTACACAACAGTAAGATTGAGGCCTGCCTGGTTACAATAGACGTGTTAGAATTGTAATGTTTATTTTTGGGTAAGTCCACATTGGTGACCTGATTAATAGGCTGAAATAGTTTGGAAAGATAAAAATATCTACAGTAACAGAACATTTAAATTTTCATTTCTCTAAATGCCAGGAAATTACAAATTAAATTGTGACATGAGGAAATGGAGGCTGACAATAAAGAAACATCTCCTAATAGTGTATAGATCTAAAGCATCCTTCAGGAATTAATTCTTGGTCTATTTGAGTTGGTATATATGTGATATAGCTGAGGGCGAGAGGATCAGCTTCTGTGATTCTGTTCAGGTCTCTGAATACAAAATGTTTATACACCCATAACCACTCACACTTATTGTTAGGAAATCAATTTGATTTGGATAATTTTTTAAGAATTAATAAAACTAATCACATTTCTTTCCAGATATATACAAGACAGAGTTATTTAAACAATAAGTTGGATTTGTAGAGAATCTGTTTTGTCTGTGAGTTATTTAAAACAATGCAGTTTTTTCATTCAGCAATATAGGTTTGCTTAATCTTGAGCCCAAAATGGACAGCCTCCTTTGGGAATATGTCTGGTTTCTAGCTGTAAAGACAACATGACTTTTTAAACTCTCTTGGGTCACTGAGGGAATAGTTGACTAGGTGTGTGAAGTAAGGATTCTAAATCCTACATTTAGCAAGTAAAAGATGATGGAATTTATAAGTTAAACATATTAAAGTGTTTATGTAGTAATTATTAAAATTGATTACTAAAATTAAATAGTTTAATATTAATTCTTGAGAACATAAATTCTTATAATTACTTACCAGGGGCCTAAAAGACTATAGAGTTGAGCTTTTAGTTTAGCAAGTTTCTCTGAAAATCAGTTTTTTAAAAATATGATTGTTCAAATGTTAAGTGTTAGAATTGAGGTTAAAGAATAAAAAGTTGGCCAGGCGCTGTGGCTCACCACTGTAATCCCAGCACTTTGGGAGGCCGAGGCGGGCGGATCACGAGGTCAGGAGATCGAGACCATCCTGGCCAACATGGTGAAACCCCGGCTCTACCAAAAATACAAAAATTAGCAGGATGTGGTGGCACATGCCTGTAATCTTAGCTACTCTGGAGGCTGAGGCAGGAGAATCACTTGAACTGGGGAGTCAGAGGTTGCAGTGAGCTGGGATGGCGCCATTGCACTCCAGCCTGGTGACAGAGAGAGACTCCATCTCAAAAAAAAAAAAAAAAAAAAAAAGAAGTTATTTAGAGCACAAATACAAAAAGTCACTTAATAGTTGATGTTATTTTTAAATTTTGTTAGTTTCTCTGAAAGAATATGCCTATTTTGCTGAAACTTGTGACCACTTTATTCTTCATTTTCCTTTTGTAGGAGTTATTACAACAGCAACATTGACCCATGATTGTGTCTTTATGAAAATTGGGGTATTTTATTTATTTATTTATTTAGGCATGAAAGTCCTTAAAATGTATAACACTGAAGAAAATCAACATAAGTCCATGCATTTTATAGGTTGATCAGTGAAAGGAAGGCCAAGATAGCTAGGTTTTTAGTAACACTGGTTAAGAGCCCATAACACAGAAGGTGTAAATTGGGTCACTTAACTGTTAACAGCATTGCAGTGACTTCACAATCTGATACTCAAAAGTAGTATTGGTTAAAATAATAGAAGTGTTAAAGAGTTATTTTCTATCTATGTTTCATTTGCCTTTTAATCCCATTTTCTTGTTACAACAGATATGCATACATGTTTTATGTATTACAAATGAAGTACTTATATATTTTAAGGTCAGCAAAAACATGCTAGGTTCAGATGTGTTTCTGCATACGCTTGGAAACAGTAACTGTGATTTCATCCATTACTATTTCAAACAAGTTTAATGACTGGATGTAATTCCTACAGGTATAGATTTTTAAAGTGCAGCTTACACTTTAAGAACTCATTGGAGAAATTTGCGTGGATTTTCATTCTACTCTGATTTAAAGGTTTTAGGCAAATTTGAAAAATTTCAAAATTGCTTCATTTTTCAGTGAAAATTTGTTTATACAAAGAGTAATATAGGGCTTTTTTTGCTGTAGAATTTTATCAATTACTCATCCCATATTGTTTAGTACTTAGTATCTTATGCATATTAAGTAATTTTATCAATTACTCATCACATATAATTTAGTACTTAATATCTTATGCATATTATTAATATCTTATGCATATTAAGTACTAAATAATATGGGATGAGTAATTGATAAAATTGTGCAGGGTTGGGAAACTCTTGCTTCCTGGAAGTTTATGGCTCTGAAGACTTACCCTCACATTCAGTTTCCACATTATTCAGTCTCGGTTCTACATTTCACCCATAAAATTTTCTGGAAAAATATCCACTCATATCAGTAAAATAGTTGTCTACTTATATTCTTTTCAGAGGAATTATAAATGCAGAAACCTCATAAGCAATGTGATGTTGAAAACAGTGAAATAACAGTATTATAGGGAATAAATCATAGTATGTTTGAGTACTAAAAAGAAAGAAAATTGTTTCCATGTGCTCTAAAGGAATTTGAATTTAGTTTCCAGAATTTGGATTTCAATAAAGTACTTTTGAACCTTTTCCTATTATTATAATCTTAGTAACATTATCCTCATCAGGTTTGATTTGATTTTAATAGCAAAATACATTTCTATATGCTTATCAAATAATTCTACTGTTAAAATACTGCTATGTATACAATATTAAACATATCATTACCATAGTTGATACATGATAGAATTAGTCCGGTCTTCAGATCTTCATTAAATAATGTTATTAAAATTCCCTGCATTCCATGGGGGAACCACAGTGTGTCTGGTGTAAAACCTTTTGGATAGTCTTTGTGTCTAGTTTGAATTGCTTTTGTTCATAAAATTCTGCCATGTAGAGTTATTTCTGAATATCTTATCAGTTGAGATAAACCACAAGTACCTGAAGCGAAATGGATGTCTGCGTAATCTCAAGAAATCTTCAGGTTCAGAAATATGCGTTCACTGAAGAGCAAAATCAGTTAATCTTTAAAATAAAATGTAACGAACCAATAAAAGAACCACAGTTCAGATGGCTGACATCATACTAAATGTCTTCCAGAAAACAGAGATTTTCTCATAGTGTGTTTTTTGGATGAATTTTTCCCTTATAGAATATACAAAGACTCAATTGATTGAGAACTCAAAGCAGTTGGTGGCTCTGATATGGGTTTATTGCCTCTATTAGATTAGAAGTAAGACTATAAATGACAGATGGTATCTTCTAGCCTACTTTCTAATTACAAAACAAGTAATACATATAGGTTTTCCATCTCATTAAGCACAGATACAAATAAAAATGACTTATTTTTCAGAAAATTATAATAGCATAGAGATAAAAATGTACAACTATTTTTATTTTAACATGGATTTCTGTTTAGTAGGATAACAAAAGAAGTTGATTTTTCAGAAGTTAAATTGGCACTTTGTAATTTTATATTGTCATATAGAAGGTGATCTCAAGAATAAACTAAAATTATAGCTATAACTTGGCCACCAGAAAGTAATAGCTTTTTCCTTCAGGCATTAGTCAACAAAGTCATAGGAGGCTGCTTGTGCTAGGATGTATAATTTCCTGTTAAGTTTATGGAAAATAATAGACAGGAATTATTGAAAATAAGGGCGTGGCTATAGGAGAGGTTAAAACAAAAGTAACAGAACTCATGCCCAGCTTTATGTTTCTTTTGTGGGGGGTGACACAGAGATTGGGAGTGTGGCAGGCAGGGTGGGATTGAGGAGGGTGAGAACCAGAGGAAGAAGCAAGGAACATAGGGTACAGACTAAGAGTAAAAACTGATAATTAAAAGAATTATTTGTTCTCAGTCTTTCTTTGTACCTTAAAAAAAAAACTCATTCTCTGTGTGACTGTTGGTAGAAACTGCCTCAGAATAACAGGTGCTGAGAAGCAAGAAACAGTCTGAATCAGTGGAGAGTACACTGGACTAGAAACCTGGTCATGTGTAAAGTCAGTGTCTTCCACAGCCTCAGTTTTATCACCTGTAAAATAATGAGTTTATAGATCATCTGCACAGTTCCTTCTAGTTTTATTTTATTGTGATTTGGTAGTTTAATAAATCAAGCCTTCCAGACTGACTTACTTGCTTTTATGCTTGCAGAATTCCAAGTGAGGATCATAGACAACCTTCCCAGGGAAAGTTTGTACTAACTCATTAATATAAATTTAAATGGGTTTGCTCTGACTCCTAGAAATTTAAAGGTGGCTGATCAGATTCTCCCTATAACTAGTTTGACATCACTGAAACCTCTCATTACACATTTCAAGTCCAGAAAACAGAAGTTTTGTGAGCCATCAAGAGCCTTGTGGAGGTATTCTAACTATGAACCTATTTTGGCGCAAATTTTATAAAGGAGAAAGAATTATCACTTTAATTCTAAATGCAAATCTATTTTAGATTTGAGTTCAGTATAATCTCATTAGATAAAAAACTCCCATGAGAATGGCAGCTGAAGATTTGGTTACAGGGCTTACATATTCAGGGACATGTGATGTGTTCAAAGGGTGAATTTTATGTTTTTTGAAGTGAAGAGGATAAAAATTAGTGATATATAATATTAGATGCAAACCATTAAGTGTTCAAAAGCAGTTCATTGGGTAAGAATATTTACCCAACATATTCCTAAAGTTAGGAGACTCGTGGTTTCTGGCATAAAAGCTGAGAGAGTACATACTGTAGTATTTGAACAAGGACATGGCAGAGTGACAAATTATATCAAAATCTGAGATGGGTGGAGGCACATCTAAACAGAGGCTGGATTGTCCTGGGTTTGGATAGAGTTTAAAACTTTCATGGGGCTTCTCTTTTTAAGCTGCCATGGAGAGTAAGTGTAGTTCAAAAGCAAAAAAAAAAAAAAAAAAAAAAAAACCCCAAAAAACCAGCAATTGATTCTGCAGAATTTTAGTATTTAGTAACACTTTCCATTAATGGTACATTAATAAGTCATGTCTCCTAATGTACAAAGTATTGTGAAGCTTCCAAATTGTATCTTGTCAAACATAACAAACCATATTACAGGATTCATCTGAAAGGTGAGTGTTCATTTTCGCCATTACTGGCAACTGAGAAATGATTTTACTATATGACTTATAGTACTGTCAGTAATGTCTATAAGTGAGCCAACTTCAGGAAAAACACATATCTCCATTAAAAAGACATGAATATAGAATAGTGCATAAAGGTGTAGGCTCTGGAGCCAGATCGCCACAGCACAAACCTGGCTCCACTACTTACTAGCTATGGGAATACAGACAGATTACATATGACTTGTATATACAGTCAGCCTCCATTTCTGTGGGTTTAGTATCCTTGGTTTCGACCAACTGTGATCTGAAAATACTCAGGGAGGAGAAAAGAATGGTTGTGTCTATACTGAACATGTACAAACTTTTTCCTGTTGTTATTGACTAAACTCAACAGTATAACAACTACTTACATAGCATTTGCATTGTATTAGGTATTATAAGTAATACCTAATGTGTGTAGTTTATATGCAAAATACTACACCATTTAATATAAGGGACTCAAACGTGATCCACAAAGGACTCCGTGGATTATGGTATCCTCGGGAGGTTGTGGAACCAATCCCTCACACTTACTGAGAAATGATTTTAACTAGATATCTGGCTTGTCAGCGCCTACCTGTAACCAAGGTGAAATACTAGAGACACATTGCATTATACATTTCAAAGCTTCAGTGTTTCCACCTGCTAAATTATTAATAGGTTATTAATCGTATTTCTCTTACAGTTATTTAGACTTAAAAGACTTATCTATAAAAGAGTTTATAAATATGTCTAACACATAGTGTTTAAAAATAATAGCTGTTAGATTATTATGATTATTGTCTGTTTTGTATTTCAAATATATTAATGGTTAGATGGCCAAAGGAATAAACAGGATTTGCTTTAAAATATGGTCAAAACAAAAATTAAATATTAACTATAAATTAAATATAAAATACCCCCAGTAAAATTAATAGAATTATAAAAGTAACAAATTGCATATCTGCCATCTGAAAAGTTGCATTTTGGCATCTGAGATAAAATATTAGCTCATTGGTAAGAGATTGAACTTTAGTGTCAGATTTGTCTATTTCTTAAGTTGTTAGGCATCCCAAAGATAGTATTTGTTAGGCAAACTTGCATTAAAAATTAAGAAAAGAGAGATTAAGTACTAAACTAAGAAAAATAATTAGGTTTTTAAAAAGAGTAATGTAACCTGTTGCTCTAAGAATTTCCTTTTTAAAATTCCTATTGCATCTTTCATTTATTCATTGTTCTACAACCAGCTTTGGTTGAATATTACAGGAAATGTTTTAGTTAAGCAAAGTTTGTCTTTCTACAATCTTCCACTGTGGTTTTTGAGACCCTTCCCTTAATATACCCTGCTTTTATTGTGCCCAGTTGTATTAATTTTCTAGGGCTGTTGTAATAAAGTATCATACATAAACTGTGGCTTAAAACAATAGAAATTTATTCTCTCTCAATTCTTGAGACTCAGAAATCAAGATGTTGGCAGGGCCATGCTCCCTCTGAAGCCTCTAGAGGAGGGCCCTTCCTTGCCTCTTACAGTTTATGATAGTACCGGGCATTTCTTGGCTTGTGGCAGAAGAGCTCCAATCTCTGCCTGTCTTCACATGGCTGTCCTCCTTTTGTGTGTGTCTGAGTCTCTTTTCTTTTTATAAGGATGACAGCCATACTGGATTAGGACCTACTCTAATCCAGGATGACATCATATTAATTTGATTATATCTACAAAGACCATTTCCAAATAAGGTCATATACACAGGTATTGTGGGTTAGAACTTGAGCATATCTCTTTGAAGAAACACAATTCAACCCATAAGCATTTTTACCATGGCAGCCCACTGAGTTTCTTCTTTAACTGCCCCCCCTTCCTTCCTTCCGTCTTTCCTTCCTTCCGTCCTTCCTTCCTTCCTTCCTTCCTTCCTTTTTTTCCTTCCTTCCTTCCTATCCATCCATTACATAAAATGAACATCTGCTGTGTGCCCGACATTTTCCTAGGCAGTAGGAACACCGGATAGAGTGACACAAAGTTCCTGATCTCATGCACTTATATTCTAAGTCAATAGACAAGTGACATTTAACATATAGAACATCTTTGAGAATAATTTTTACAAAGATCAATAAAACAAGGAAAGAGGATCAAGAGATATGGGGGCAGAGGGGGATGGCATGTGGGTGAGAGGTACATTTCAGACTGGATGGTCAGTGCAAGCTAGCTGCCCTGCTACACATACCTATCTGAACCCAATGTGCTGACTCACACATGTAACGTATTAAAAAGGTCTTTCTATAAATAATTTATTAAGTCAGAGGAGGGGTGCTAATATAGATTTGATTTTAGAATGTAGAAAAGATCGCTTTGAGGAGGGTCTCATGCTGTATTCATCCTCCCAATATGTGCTAAGTGCTTACTGGGTGACGGGAGCTGTGTTAGGTCAGAGGATGCAATGGTGAGCAAGAAAAGGTGGCCTCTGCCCTCATGGGACTTTCTCTGAAATCCTGATACAATGTGGAAGGCATTCTTAGGTAACAAAGAACTAGCAGCTGATTGGTATATGGGGAGGAGTTAATTCAGATTTGACTTTACTTACATCTTTCCTCCTGATCTCAAGGCAAAATAACAGAATATAGTCTAATTAGTTGTTTTAAAGACATATTCTACATACTTATATCTTACTGACTAAAGGTCAGTTATCAAAATTATAGGGAGGTGAGAAAAGTTTTAGTGTAAGTGTTGATGACTGACCTCCAAATAAACTATATTGTTTTCTTTGGATTTAATATGTTCTAGGATTATTTTTACAGAAATATTATGGTGGAAAATATTGTTGTGAGCTACATAGCCCAGATGTGAGTCATGAAAGCTGGTATAAACCAGATTTTATTTGATGATTTGTTTATTGACTTTTAGAATAGAGAATAAAAAGAAATTGTGTACTTTCATTTAAGAAAACAAATCTTCATTTTGTGAAGGACAAATCAAAGTTTGCTAAGTAGCTCACCTAAAAAATGACCTAACTTGTTACCCTGATTTCCTGTAGACTGTGTGTATCTGCCAGCTATTGTTTTACTAGGATGAGTGAATCTCTGCCAAAGGATTTAAAAGCTCTTCTAGAACTAGAAAATTCCTTAGTGTACAGAAATAAGATTTGCTGAGATAAATGTTCATCAAAAGGCAATGCATCAAGCTAAGGGAAAAATCTCCAGACACACAGGAAGATTGTACGTTTAGGCTTTCTTCTATGTCATGTTAAAAATTATGAAATGAATCTGCTGCTAGTCTGAGCACCAGACTAAACCAGAATGAAACCTGTCAAGCTCTGTCTCGTTAGCGCTATGCCAGCCATGGTGAGATCAAAGGGTAACCATGGCTTTCACAGAGCACTTCCTCAGGTCCTTTTGGCATCTTTTTGGCATCTTTGACTCAGACTAACATCACCAGTTCTGATCTCTTCTGCTTTCTGGAAGCACAGGGTAGATGGTTCCTGACTTCCCTTTTGTTGTATGTTTCATCTTGCATTGATACTTTTTTCTCCACTTGGCCCCTGTCCAACACGTAACTTGTTTTAGATTATATATATGTATATATATTTATATATCTCCAAATGGGGATGTTCATAGTACTGTTGCAGGAAAATAAAAAAATGTATATTTAAATAATTTTAAAGCGACTATTAGTGTTTCTAACAAAGTTGGTAATCTAGGACTTTTCTCAGTGTTACTGGTTACTAGTGTTACTAGTGTTTCTTAGTGTTACTGTACATAAACAATGTAGATTGACTTGGTGACTACTCCCAGTTTCCCATAGACCATGTATATAAAATAGTAATTATAAAGTTAAGGTATAACACTGTCTATATGGCCTCTAGATGTTTTTGGTTCACTACAGTGGAGCCTCATTTTAATGCTATTGTATGAAACAACCTAATTGATTTTATGAAGTTTTCAATATGTTTTTCTGTTACTTTTTTTTAATTTGTTTGAGGTTAAATTGGTCAAAATGGACCATTTATGAGGCTGAGGACACAGATTAGGCCCTATGAGTCTGAAGTTTTATTCCCTTTCATAATCACGTATCATACTGTCTTTAAAGCCCAGATCATTAATCTTACCAATAGATGTCATTGGTTACAGGGAGAAATCAGGCAAACGGCTGAGGGTGGGTTGAGGCTAATCTATGATGACTATGGGGGACTCAACCTTCTGATGTGTGACAGTAGGGTCACATTCAGAGATGAAGGTGATCATGTCAGGGGCACTATTTTTACTATCTACGTGATAGCATGTCACATCATAGCTTAGATCTGTTGAATTACTCACCATAAAATATGATGGTAGATTCTCATGTTAGGTGAAGCTCATTATTTACTTTACTGGAGAAAGGCAATATTAAACTTACAATTTGGACAGCTAAGGTTAGGACATTGCATTGTATAATAAGCCACCCTAAAACTTGATGATTTCTAATAACAGTAATCATTAATTTGTTTACAAACCTGCAATTTGGATAGGATTTGACTTCGTTTCATGTGGCATCAACTGGGATAGCTCAACTGGGGCTGCAGGATCCATTTCTAAGATGACTCACTTACATGGCTGGTAAGTTGGTGCTGTTAACTGGGAGATTAAATGGGCTGTTGACCAGGCTTCTCAGTTCCTCCCCACATGGTCCTCCCCATTGGGATGTTTGGGCTCCCTCAACAGCGTGCAGCTGGTTTCCAAGAACAAGTATCACGAAAAGACAGAAAGTGAAAGCTGCCAGCATCCTAAGGCCCAGACACTGGTTCAGCATCTCTTGTGCCATATCCTGTTGGTCAATTAATAGTCGCAGAGCCCACTAAGATTTAAGGAGAGGTAACATGGATCTCATCTTTTAATGGGAGGAGTGTTGCATACTTTGCAGCTGTCTGTAATCTACCACATATGTTTCTTATGATTAGTATTATCTCAGTAAAAATATAGATACTCAGGCACTTCTGTCATCTTAGATTAGATTCTGCTAGTCATATTCCAAAACAATAGAAGCAAGTCAATAGATACCATGATTTAATAATTAGTATTCTAGAAATTCATTCTAGCTTTTTTAGTCTTTTTCTGTTTTTAAGCACATACTGATGCATGAATCCCTTGTGGTACACTTGAAGTCATCCCCATGTCTGGACAGAAACAGGACACCCTGTCAGTGGTCTCCAAATATTTTAGGTTATACATCTCTATTATTACTTATGAAAAGCAAATATTTCTCCTATATATGTGGTGAAGAACAAGTAGGGACCTATGTCACTAATTCTTATACTCTCTTACTGTCTTCTGCCGCAGAAGACAGATAATTCCTTGCCTTCATTCCTGTTACTGAAATTTTTTGAGCATGTACCATACATGTACCAGAGTACTGCTATTGTATTTACTCTGTACAACAATTAGAAATTTTAAAAGCAAAAGATAAAAAATTTCAGAACTTGTAATTTTATCCTCATATACATCTCATTTTAGGGAACTCATGGGTACTACTTTTCCCCCTTCCTTGGCTTTCCACTTTCCTCCACAGTCATTTGTGGTAGATAGTCTATATAACAGTTGATTCCCTTCTGACATGGGCATACTGTCTTCATATCATGAAATGGAGTTTAATTTCCCTCTCCTTTAATCTGGACTTGCCTTGATTTCTTAACCAATAAAGTGTGGCAGAAGTGATGTCATGCACTAACTTCTATAAAGGCATTCAGCCTCCCAATAGGACTTTTAGAATGCTTGCTCTTGGAGGGCTCCCTTTTGGAACTCAGCCTCTATATCATAATAATGCCAAGCCACATAGAGAGTCTATGTGTAGGTGGTTTGGTTGTCAGGTCAGCTGAACACTTAGCTGATAGCTAGCATTAGCTGCTGGCCAGGTGCATAAGCCATCTTAGATGTCCAGCCCAGGTAAGGCTTCAAATGACTGAAATCTTAGCCATCATCTGTAACCATATCAGAGAACTACCCAGATGAGGCCACACAACCATAGGATAATAATAAATTATTCCTTTAAATCACTAAGTTTATAGGTGGTTTGCTATGAGCAATGGATAACCAGATCATCATTCCTCTGTGTTCTGTGTAATTGGTCTTCCAATTCTTAATGCCCTTCTATGAGTCATGACTAGAGAATTATTTAAAATATTAAAATAACATATTGTTTTATAGATGAGGAAACTGAGACTCAGAGTTAGTTACTCCAAGGGCAATCAGGAAATAAAGGGCCTGGAATTCAAAATACAGGTCTTATGACTGTGAAAGCCCACATTCTTTCTCCTGCTATAGCATTCTTCAGGTCGAGGCATTGTGAAATAATATTACACATTGGTCAACATGGTTGCCTGGAATTCTGAACAGACCATAGCAGGTGGAAGCTCCAGTTGGATCTTTGGGTTCCTTAGGGTTTGGAAAGAGGTTAAACAGTTAAACAAACAACCAGATTAGAAACGTATTTGGCAGGGTCAAAGAATCTCCAGCAACGGAATGTCTCTAAAATCTTTCATAGGCATCCTGCTAATGAAAGAGCTTTTCTTTCTCTTAACATCTTTAATTTTTTTTTATTTTTTAAGTTTTTTTTCTGAATATCTTCCAGGTTCATAGAATGGGATGCCCACTGATGACAATGCCAGGTAATTTAAGTAAGAACGTCTTGCTCCCCATACCTCTTCTCCCTATCACTCCCCATCTCTTAATGCTCAGAATGAACATTAAGGAACATTAAGGAACATTAAGGAAGGCTCAGAGTGAACAGCTAGCAAACAGGATAGGAGATGATCAGAAAGGAAAAGTGTCTCTCTTGCCCTTCCTAACTGGGAGGCTTTAAAAAATACTTTTTGTATTTTTAATTGTTTCATATATATATATATATATATATATATATATATATATATAGTTTCATATATATATAGTTTCATATATATACATATATATTGTTTCATATATATACATACACACACACAATATATATATATGTATTTAAAAATATTTTCTTTTTTCTTTTCAACTTTTATTTTAGGTTCATATGCAATGCAGGTTTGTTACCTTGGTAGATGGTGTGTCACAGGGGATTTGGTGTACAGATAATTTTGTCACCTAGATAATGAGCATAGTACCCGATAGGTAGTTTTTCAGTTCTCATCCACCCTCCTCTCCGTTCACTCTCAAGTAGGCCCCGGTGTCTGTGGTTCCCTTCTTTGTGCCCATGTGTGCTCAGTGTTTAGCTCCCACTTATAATTGAGAACATGCGGTATTTGGTTTTCTGTTCCTGTGTTAACTCGCTTAGGATAATGGCCTCCAGCACCATCCGTGTTGCTGCAAAGGGAATAATTTTATTCTTTTTTATGGCTGTGTAGGATTCCATGCTGTATATATACCACATTTGCTTTATCTATTCCCAGGTGGGAGGCTTTATCCAGGAACAGGGGAAACAGCTGGAACATGGAGTGATGTTGGCATCACTTAATTATCGCAGGAGACTCACTTTCTAGGGGTCAGATTGAGACTGTATTTTGCAACCTAAAGAAAATATAGGCATTTTATTACATAAGAGTTATCAAAAAGGTCACGATTGTATGATTTTTCAGCCATGGAAGGGGAAGAACTTCACCCACTGTGTAAATGTTAAAAACGGTGGGAAGCAAAATAAGATCACATTGCAATTTTGTCTGTTGGAATATGCTGGCTCATCTTGCCTGCCAGTATCTTGGAAGGTATCTTACAGGTAGACTGCATTCTGCAGTGTTTTGTAAGGTGGGCAGAAACTTAAAAGAGAGAGCGACTATTTTGAACTTAGACCATTATCTCTTTTGGAACAGAAGTGAATTTTAAAATTTTAAGTAGAAGAGCAGAGACATTCAGAGGTTTTAGACAATTTTATTAAAATTGTGAAAATTTCAATATAAAACATTACAGTTATTCAATATAAAATGGAGTTTTTTGACAACCATATTGCAATTTGTTTTGATACTAGTAGGAGCCTTTTACCTCTTAGTGATTTTTTTTTGAGGCTTCGCTCCTTTATGTTGCACCCTCCCTTTTCCCTTCCCAAATTGTTTCATCACAGAGCTATAATGAAATTAATACCTAACAAGAACCATATACTGAATTTTGATGTTTACTTTTTTTTTTTTTTGAGATGAAGTCTCACTCTGTCACCCAGGCTGGAGTGCAGTGGTGCTAATTTGGCTCACTGCAACCTCTGCCTCCCAGGTTCAAGCAATTCTCCTGCCTCAGCCTCCCGAATAGCTGGGACTGTAGGTGTCCACCATTACGCCTGGCTAATTTTTCTATTTTTAGTTGATGGGTTTTCACCATGTTGGCCAGGCTAGTCTCGAATTTCTGACCTCAAATGATCCGCCCAGCCCAGTCTCCCAAAGTGCTGAGATTACAGTCGTGAGCCACCTCTCCAGGCTTGAGGTTTACTCTTGAGAGCAAGTATTTCCAATGAAAACATAAGATACAGTAGTAAACAGTGGGGACATTATATACTCCTTTCTGTGAGTTATATACATTACGTAGAAATAGTCTGTATTTCAAAGATAATAATTATTTACTGAAGGTTTTTGAAAATAAAGTGAGGGAAATTTATTAATGTTGTTACTAATAACATGTTCAATTCTGTTTTATGAATCTCATAAATATCCCCAAAGATACTAAAATTTACTGCTTTGTGTCTGGAAAGAAATAGAGTTGATTGGTTAATCTTTTCTGTTTAATTTTACATTTTAATGTTGCCTGTATTTTTATTGAGAGAAACTCTCATTGATTTGGATGATATTTCATCTCTGAAGGAGTTGACTGGGTTATTCAGACGCATATGAACATGTTAGGAACTCTCATTTTTTTTTTCTGGCATTATCTCCTATCTAGTTGTTTGGAATAAAAATGAAATCTTTACTATTCAGCATTGTTATGTGATTAGTTTCATCTGCTTTTGGAAATAGAAATAGATACTAGCTTATTCTGAATATGTACAGAGCAGTGTTCACCTTAACCCATTGTTTTGGTGCCATTCTTTGTTGCATGTAACTCTCACCTAGGCTGTTAAAGTTACTTGAAAATATTAATTGAAGGTCATCTTGCTTTACCAGTATATCTAGTGGAAGAGGACCTGCAAAAGCAATGCCCCTACATAACATTCTTTGTCATGTAAATGGAAGAAATATTCAGTGAATATAATGAAAAGCACAATAATAAAACATTTCATTCAATTATCTACTGTTTATTATATACTCCCTATTTTCTCAGCACAGTGCTAAAAGCAGGAGGTAGATAAGTGTAAGAAACAGTCTGGTTTATGTTTCTGAGTGTAAGTGAGAATAGAGAAAACGCAGTGGAGAATGATCCTCTTCAGGGCACTTTGTATTCTATGTAAGATGGTTGTGTCACATGCTACTGCTCTCTGTAGCTTAGTATTAAAAAAATTCAACTTGGTAAGATATAGGAAAGTTATGTGGACTCATGTATATGTGTGCCTCCTCTCTAAAATGGAAACAAAATCATTTATCTGAGTTATCACTTTCCTTCGTAATGTGGTTCTTTGTAGTTTGTTCAGTGAAGCTAATAATCTTTTTTATAAAACAGTATATTAAAAGTTAAAAAAATCTGAAATCACTATGTAGATAGTGATTAACTGTTGAGAAAAATTCCTGTTTTTAAACTATCTGAATGAGATTTAATAATTTGTTTTTTTTTTTTTTATTAACTGATATCTTCTTTCTTGGAAAAAAAATGTTCCCTTCAGGGTTCTCCACATTCTGAAGTGCAGAGTGAGGTGGAGGCTGCATCCTTAGGGCGTGGAACAGCGTCTGCTAAAAAGAGACTCCTCAGTGTATGTTTGTTGAATGGATGAGTGAAAGTGGATGGAAAGAATATGATAAATGACTTCATTATTTTTGGTGTGCTGGATTGCTCGGATTCACAAGCATAAGAGCTACCTCGTAGATGGAACTCATTCCTTAAGTCAAAGTAGTTTTGCCCAGACTGATGCATGGTAGATAAAATGCAAGACTTATTTCAGAGTTGTTAATTATGTTTTAGCTGTTCCTGTGCTGTGATTTGCATATTGCATGCTGTGTTGGAATTAGCAGAGGGCATACAGAGTGCGTATATATGCGTGTCTCTTTCTTTCTATAATGCTCTGTTAAGCTGCAGGACAACCTAGTTTATGATCACTAGGAAAAGTGGTGATTACATTGAGCCTGCTTTAGAAAGACTAGAAGAGGTCTTTCAATGATTTTGGAAAAAGTTTAAGAGTGTCTTGGCAACCATTTTCAAAGTATCACATTGAGAAGCAATTCTTTAATAGAGTATACTTTATTGCTAGCATGGTGTAGGTAGGATTGACTTATAAAACATAACTTTAAGTATTTGGTGTATTATAAATTGAATGTTTACTTTCTTTTGTTTCTGACTTTTCAGCATCCTAAATATTTTTTAATGAGCAATTACAGGTATGGTTAGTAGTCACTAAGTTGTAAATAGAATTAGCACACATTTTGAATTATGGGGCAATGTGTAGTGCTTATTTCAAAACTTGTCATTTCTGTTTTCTTTAACACTTATCTGAACATATAAGCAGTGTTTTCTTGTTAAAAACATTGGCTTGAGGGAAAACCATGCACTAGAAAATTAGTATTTTGAGAAATTTCAATGAAAAGTGACATTCAACACCCGAGCTATATCTTAAGTGTTTTGTCAGTGATAGAAACCTCAGGGACAAGCCATCAGGAGTGAGAGTAGAACTGTGTTGAAGACCTCAGTGATCCTCTTGCAAATCACTCCAGCTCTGATATTACCTTACATCACTGTAACTATGCTCCAGGAAGACTGCCAAGATGTTAAAGCTCCCCCGCCTCCACATCACCCACAGCTAATTGATGATCTGATATGGGATGCTTTGACTCAGCTGTATCACATATACACACAGTGAGGTACAGAGGCAGCTGGCACACTCCTTATTTCTTTGTTTGGCAGCTTCCTAAAACAGCATGGGGTGTGCAGAAACATTTGGCTCTTCCCCTAAAAGCAAAGAAGTCTGTTAGTTAACCCCAGCACAAGGTAAATAGGAAGTTAGCCAGAGTCATTAAAGTGTTGGATATTAGGGTAAGGACTGTGATTTATGAGTCAGATTCATACAATTTTGGCTTTTTAATTTACAACCATAAATTCTTATTTCTAAATTATCTGCTGAAGCTATATACCTAAAGCAGATTTCTATACGTAATGAAGGAATGCCAACTAAAAGACGTTCATTTGGTTGAGTTGGAGGCCAAGCTCAGCTGACTGGCTGGGTCCTCAGAGGTCGCTGATGTATTACAGCAGACAGTAGACGTGAGGGAGTTGTCAGACTGCCACCAGGGCTTTGTTTTTCCCACTCATCCCCACCCTGGTTCTTGCCAAATCTGCTTTGCATTTGAAGTTGACTGAAATGGGTTTCACTGTTAACCTGTCAACTGAAACCTGTGATTTAGAGAGCTTTTTGTTCATTTCAGTTGTTGCAAGACATTGAAGTAAAAAATCTGGATTCTTTTAGAGCACTGAAGATGGCCAAATAGAGCAGCATCTGGACCTACCCCTAATTAATCGAAAAGTGTTGTCAGGTGCAAGAGATGAGATTTTTGTTAGAAAGGTGGTCCTTCAGTACCAAAAGTTTGTTGTGGGTAATGACCTCTCTAGGGCTGTTCAGCAAATCCCTGGAAAACATTATAAAGAATTATACCTTCTTGGATTTAAGGTGGATTTATTCTTCCTAAGAGCACAAAATGCTTTCATATATTGGTTATTTCATTTATTTTCATAACATCAGCACGCAATAGTTTGTGGCAGTTATAATTATCCCATTTTTATGGAGAGAGAAGATAGGGTGCTGGGGAAACCTGAGAGCCACAGAATGTTTATGTTTTATAGTGTTTTTCTCTCTGAATAGATAAAAGTACTTTATAAATATCTGAACCTGTCTTTAGTATATGAGAAAGCTATTTATTATGGGTAAGGTGTGTACAGTAGAAGGATATTAACTGTTTTATGCCATAAGATAACGTTAGAGAAAAGCCGTAAGTTGCTGTCTATTAATCTTATATATTAAGTGTGTTTTTGGTGAATTGCAAGGACTATGAATGAAAAAGATTTTTTTTTCTGAAAAATGAGTTAAAATAATCTTGTTCTTGGTCCCTGAAAACTGGGAATTTAGCTTGCCCAGGAGTATGAAACAGAACCAGATGTTGTTTTCCAGGGCAGAAAGCAGCCTGACGTGAACACTGGGGTCATGGAATCTGGGGGTTAGGTCAATCTTAAAGCATTGTTATTAAATTACATCAGAGACACTGTGAAGAAAAGTGATGTAAAATTATGGAAAGGGAATTGGACTCTTTGGAAAAAAGGTGTCTGGCAAATTTAGTATGTTGTCAAGAGCCCCTGAATTATATTTCAGGAAAGTGTTAGGTGAAACTTTATTAGATAGGATACAGATTTTTCTGAGGTAACGGATAGTCTAAAAATACAATGACAATCAAGATAGAAGTTTATATCCCCTCTTGTAAGTCTGGGTAAATGATCAGGGGTGGCCTGGAAGCTTGACAGTATCAGGAACCCAGGATCCTAATGTCTTCTGTATTTGATCTGAGGCTTTCGTTTTATTGTCTAAGATGACTGTTTTTATTTTCCAATCTGTGGGGACTCTGAAAGAAGCAGTGGGAAACCTGCTCTTTACTTTTCAGTGCACAAACCAGAAGTCCTATATGTCAATGTCTGTCCACAATCCGTTGGCCAAAATTAGTCCCGTGTCCGCATCCAGCTTCAGGGAGGCTGGGAAACGTAGTCTTTAGCTAGGCAGCCATATGCCCAGCTAAAATGTGAAGGGCTGATTACTGAAGCAAGCAAGAAAGAATGGATATTGAAAAACCAGCATTCTCCAGCACAGAAACATACTGTGGAAAATATTTAATCTATTTTAAGATATGTATCAACTCTATGATTGTTTTAGAGCTCAATGTTATTCAGCATGCTTTCTGGATAATATTGCTGATGAATGCATGTTCTCTAACAGATTTTCCATAATTCAGTGGAGACACATGATGTAGCTGAACCATTACGATAATGAATTATGTATTTCTTATAAGGGCAAAGATAAGTTCAACACTTTTTGCCATGCTCCTTAATATTTTATATTGGAACAATCACACAGTGGTAACACACACACTAAGATAGTAAAGTTTTGTGGAAGCATTGCGAATTTACTTATCTACTCTATAGTACAAAATCAAATTTATCAGCCATGGTAGAATCAGAACTGCCGTTTAGCTGCAAGACAGAGTAATGATAAAAATTCCCATTGAGAATTTTCCCAGAGTACTAAGAATAATTTTTGGGGTCCCGGGTGTGTGTTTTCCATTTTTTTGTCTTTGGTAGGTATTGTAACACCTTTAACAATAAATTTCTTTCAAATACCTTAAAAAATGTTTTCGTTTGCAGGATAGACAATATCAAATCTCTTCCTGCTTTCTGTTGTTGAAACAAAGTAGTCATGCTGTGTCTGTAAGCAGATTGTTTCTATAAAACAAAAGTTCCTTATGGTTTCTATTTCCTTAAATGGCATAATTGGTCATTTAATCTCAATGTAATATTTAAATTATTATCTGAATACACTATTGCTGGTGGTAGTTGTTTTTGTTTTGTTAATAACCATTACTGTATTTTGCTTTTCTGGCTGTAATAAAAGAGTGTGCCTATTATATAGGCCATTTTTTCCAAATTATTCCTAAGACATGGGCGGAAAAGAGCTTTCTGGTTGTGGCCTTTTTCTGATTCCTTCATACAACGTCTTTCAGAATTATTATCTCAAATTATAATGCGAAACTGATAACCTATATAAAAATGTCAAATTTCAAGTTGGAGTAATCCAGCCACTTTGGGATCCTTTAGGATATAATATTTTCCTTTGAAATTTTAAATGACATTAATATAGGTATATAGTTTTAAAACTCATGATGATTATGATAAAAGAGTGTTTTTCTACCACACCTTCCCTCCACCCTCAATTTCTGTTTTATAGAAGCAACAACTTGAAATCATTTAGCTGCTGTTTCTGTTATTTACCTTCCTATTTCTAATAATAAGCTTGCAGAACTACTTTTTTATTTTAAAAAGTGTGTATTATAAGTTTTCCATTGATAGCTGGCTTTTATAGATGAAGATTTTATTCTGTTATTCCTGCAGTTGCTTCACTCAAAACACAAGTGTATCTTCCCTGCCCTTTCAATCTAGCTGTAATCATAGAACAATATGACCCAACTGTGGCAAATTTCTATTTAATCATAATAAAATATTCACTGATGTTTATTGAACCACAAATAATTATTTGATTTTATTACAATTAAGTGGAAATTTGTCACAATTGGGCCATATTGTTCCATGATTAAATTTTTCCCTTGGAATTAAACATTGCTTTACTTTTATTTATTTTCTTACTTTTCTATGCACCCTTTACTATTTATTTCACCCTAAGATACTCTGCTAAAGCTATCAAATTCATCACTATGGTAAAATCAGACAACCTGTAGGATTCTTTTTGTTTGTTTTCTTGGTGGCATCCTGCGGGAGTTCTCAGTTCTCCCTCTGGACTGGTGGTCTCTGGCCTTAGAAATTGCTTTCCTGAAGCTTCCCCTCAGCATCATCCTGTGAATTCCTTTTGTTTCTCCTTCCTCCTTCCTGGGTCCCATTTCTTCTTCTTTGGGGGAGGCTCTGGATTTGGTGGACTCCATCAGCTCTTAATTTCTGAGAAAGGGCAGATGAGAGGTAAAGTTTTTGAGAACTCTCATTTCCAAAAATGTCTTTGTTTGGTTGACATATCTGATTTTTAGTCTAGTTAGTAAAGAATTGTACTTTGGAAATCATTCTAGTTTTAAAATTTGAAGGCATGGCTCGTCTTGTCTTCTGCTTTCCATTATTATAGTTGAGAATTCTGATGCCATCCTGATTATCCCTCATATGCATCCTGTTTTTCTATCTGTAATTTTGTGAAGCTTCCTTTGACTACAATTTTCTGAAATTTCAGTATGGTATGGTTTTGTGTGAGTCTTTATTTAGTCATGAAGGTGGGACCTGGGGCCAGGGACTTTTCCATCTACAACATCCTCTAGTTCTAGGACTTTTGGGGGAAGAAGGTTTTATTTCTTTGATTTTTTTTACACCCCTTTACTGCTATTATTCATTCTCATTCTCTCCTTCCTCCTGCTTCTCTCTTTCTCTCCCCTGGCTGCCTCTCCAACATATCCATATATCTGTACAGATGTAGATATCCCTCTCGCCACTTATCTATCTTTATAAGATATAGATGTCTATGTATCTACAAAAGTATTATTATCTCCATATAGCTAGATATCTCTATAGATATAGGTATACACACATATATAAAATATAGATATGTATCTGTAGATAGAATGATCAATTGATCGATAGATAATCTATTTTGTAAATATTTTTCCCAGTATGTGGCTTGTCCCTTCATTCTCTTAACAGTGTCTTTTGTGAATACTGACAAACTAATTTACATACTATTTTATGAAGTCCAAGTTTTTGGTTTTTTCTTTTATGGATAGTGCTTTCAGTTTTGTATCTAAAAATTCATGACCAAGTCCAAGATCACATGGATTTTCTCCTGTGTTATTTTCTAGGAGTTTTATAGTGTTGCATTTTGCATTCAGGTCAGTTATCTATTTTGAGTTAGGCTTTGTGAAAGGTGTAAGGTCTGTGTTTGGATTCATTTTTGTTTTTTTTTTTGCATATGGATATCCAGTCATGCCAGCACTATTTGTTGAAAAAACATTCTCCATTGAGTTGCCATTGCTCATTTGTCAATGATCAATTGGCTATATTTGTGTGGGCCCGTTTCTAGGCTATTTTCCTTTGGCCCATTTGTCTGTTCTTTTGCCTGTACTACATTGTCTTGATAACTCTGGCTTTATAGTAAGTTTTGAAGTCGGGTAGCATCAGTCCTCTGATTTTGTTCTTCATTATTGTGTTGACTATTCTGGGTCTTTGGCCCTTTCATATAAACTTCAGATTTAGTTTGTCAGTATTCACAAAATAACTTGCTGGGAAGTTGATCGGGATTGCATTGAACCTATAAATCAAGTTGGGAAGAACTGACTTCTTAAGGATATTGAGTTTTCTGTTCAGGAGCATGAAATATCTCTCCATTTATTTGGTTCTTTGATGTCTTTCACCAGTTTGGTAGCTTCTCTGATGCAGACTTTGTACATATTTTATTAGATTTGTATCTTTCTTTTAAATTTGTGGTAACATAAGTGGTTTTTATTTTTAATTTCAAATTCTAATTGTTCATTGCTGGTATACAAGAAAGCTGTTGACTTTGCATTTTAACTTTATATCCTGCAACCTTGCCATAATTGCTTATTAGTTCCAGGAGTTTTTGTTGATTTTTCAGATTTTCTATGTTAACAATTATATAATCTGTGGAAAAGACAGTTGTAAGTTTTCCTTCCCAGTCTATATGCCTCTTATATCCTTTCCTTGTCTTATTGTATTAGTTAGGACTTCCAGTGATATTGAATAGAAGTGGTGGGAAGGGACATTCTTGCCTTGCTCCTGAGTTTAGAGAAAGAGCTTCTTAATTTCTCACCATTAAGTGTGATGTTAATAGTTTGTTGTTTGTAGGTGTTTTTTCTCTGGTTGAGAAAGTTACCCTCTATTCTTAGTTTGCTGTGTGTTTTTATAATGAATAGGTGTTGGATTTTGTCAAATATTGTTTCTGCATCTATTTATATGACTGTATTGTTTTTCTTTCTTAGCCTGTTGTGTGGTGGATTTCATTAATTGATTTTTAAATGTCAAATTGGTCTTTTATACCTGGCATAAATCCCACTTGGTTGTGGAGTATAATTCTTTTAATATATTATTGGATTTGATTTTCTATTAAACTCTATTCTTTATCATAAATTACTGGACCAAGTGCATACCAACAGAAAAGATAGCCTTCTTCATATTTTCATAGCAGTCTTGTGTTAAGTTAGTACTGAACAGAGATAGGATTTGGGAACTGATTGAATGTGGTTAGTGAGGAAGATAAGATTATTGAAGATGACATTGATGTATTGAGACTTGTTGAGAATATCAATGAAGAAAGGACAGGAGGGAAATAAATATTCAAAAATATAAGTTGATTTTTGTGGTTCTAGTGATATGGGTAGGAGATATATATATCAAGTAACCTAATACTCAGGAAACAAATTTAGGATAGAGGGTTTTGGGAATCATGTATACATGACAGTGAGGGCTGAAGCTATACAAGTGAATGAGATTATTGGGGAGAAATGAAAAAGAGATGAAAGATCTGAAAAAGACCTTGAGGCATACTTACACATAGAGAAATAAGAACTAACAAAGGAGACTTAGAAGATTCATGTTAGGAGAGGCCGGGTGCAGTGGCTCACGCCTGTAATCCCAGCACTTTGGGAGGCCAAGGTGGGCAGATCACTTGAGCTCAAGAGTTGGAGACCAGCCTGCCCAACCTGGCGAAACCGCATCTCTACTAAAAATACAAAAAATCAGCAGGGCATGGTGGTGCACACATGCAGTCCCAGCTAGGCTGAGGCAGGAGAATCACTTGAACCCAGGAGGCGGAGGTTGCAGAGAACCAAAATTGTGCCATTGCATTCCAGCCTGGGCGACCGAGAGAGACTGTCTCAAAAAAACCCCACAAAAGATACGTTAGGAGAGAACCAAAATGATACCATATCAGAAATAAAAGAAGGAAAAATTGAAAAAGCAAAGAGCCATGGATTTGGTGATTCAAAATTCTTTGATAAAATTGCCAGAATGCATGAGGTAAAATGGAAGTGGAGCAATGATTGTAGACTATGCTTTCAGAAATGCTGGCAGTGAAAAGAAGTTAACTCCTAGGCATGGAAAGACTGAAGGAAGTGTCTCACCAGCAGTGAGGCTTGAGCACATCTGATTGTTGTGTGAAAGGAGCTGCTGGAGAAAGACTTCGACGATGGAAGATGGAAAGTGAATAATGGAAGGAAGTTACCATTTCATATATTGCTCCTGAAAATAAGCCAACAATGTGTGATTGGTTACTTGATGATTTAGCTGCCTCTTACAAAGCTTTATACTTTAATGTAGAAGGTGTGTGTCAGTTAGTTTAAGCTAGGTTACTCTGTGATAACCCACAGTCCTGAAATCTCAGCAGTTTAAAATAACTAAGGTGTATTTCTTGCTGACAGTCCATGTATATTATGTAATAGGTCAGCTGGTGCTTTTGCTGCAGTTTATTCTTACTCTAGTACCCAGGCTAGGAGAGCAGGCTTCTTCTTGAGCATTTCCAGTCACCCTGGCAGAGGACAAGAGTCATGGTAAATTACACACTACCTTTTAATGCTTCCAATCCCAAGTGACTTCGTTGACCAAATGAAGTCCCATGACCATGCTGGCTTCCAAGGGCTAGGGAAATACAATCCTAACCCATGCTAGGAAGGAGAGCTAACCATAGTGTTTGTAAATATCTCTGATGGCAACTATAAATATATACTTATTTGGATTACTATATTCATGTATTGTTTTAAAAATCTTTGTATTCATTTCTATAAAAAGGCATTAGTTTTTTTTTTCTGGAAAATAATACTATATCATAACTTTGCTTCTCAGGGGCAAATAAGATTAAATATAGATCTCATTTGTATTTACAGTGCCGTTTTCAGAAATGCAATTCCAATTTTGACTGGGCACGGTGGCTCATGCCTATAATCCCAACACTTGCAAAGGCCAAGGCAGGCAGATCCCTTGAGCCCAGAGTACGAAACCAACTCGTGCAACATGGCAAAATCCTGTCTCTAGAAAAAGAAAAACAAAAGAAATGTAATTCCAATTCTGTACCAGAAGTACACATCGTGGTGATAAAGACATGACAGGGATCTATTAGATTTTGCCAATTATCACTCTAAAATTAAAGTCAGAAATAATGAAATGTGTTAATAAGTAAAATTATAAAACATTTTTCTTTGAGTTGACTAAAGATCCTTTGCATTCTTTAAAAATACTAGGTAATTCTTATAAAAAAAATGTCAAGTGCTTTAAGGAGGAAATAGAAAGTGAAGAAAAGATCTGAACTTGGCTGCACCCATCAAATCTCAAACTAACAGTTTATCTCCTTCTACCTGTGCACCTCCATGTTAAAATATTCCCTGCTATCCCAATAGGGTCTTATTTAGATTCAGTAACCAATTGCAATTTGTAAATGCTGTACAGGGAAGTGTTTAGTGTTCAGAGGAAGAGCTGTACTGTATTATCCTGGCTTCAAGCACAAGACTAATCTCATGAATCTGAGATTCTTCACAAATGTACATATTAGAAGTCTTCAGGAAAGCATCCCAGACATTTGTAGCATTATTAAAGATTTAAATTTTAAACCATTGTAAGTGTGGGCATAACAGAAGCAGCAATTTTATGGATTTTGAAATATTTTTCTCATCACAGCTGAAACAGATTTTTCATTAACACTTTGCTGTGTCTGTTCAGAAGGGAGGCTCTAGAGCTAGCATAGAATGCAATCAGGGTGTTATTGCTGTTGTGTGACTTCCATTTCCTTGATGTCCTCTACAGACTTTTCAAGAGGCTTTCTCTAGGATTTGATTGTTCAATGAGTTTTACCTGGTTATCAGTAAATTTAAGGGAGTAAAAGGAGTCTTTCTCTACAGTATTAATAAAGTTCCTTTGGAACACTTAAAAAGAGTTGAAATCAGATGTTGAGAAGCCTGCCAGAGAGATAAAGTGGAGTGTGTTCTGAACATCGGTTTTCTCTTGATTAATGCATAGCATTAATAGCTACATATCAGTGTGTGTGTGTGTGTGTGTGTGTGTGTGTGTGTGAATGAATATGCAGAGTCTGATGTGGTTAATAAGGTGACTTTACTGTTCAGGGAGCTAAGAAAAGATGAATTATTTCTAAAGAGGGCCCTCCTGGCCTGTCTTGTGTTGGGTTAACAAGTCCACGAAAGAAGGAATCATTGGCCAGAGCCACACGCTCATCTTTGAGACGACCGGGGTAAGATATAATGAAAAAAGTTCAAAGTAAAAGCAAACAATTGATATAAAAGTACAAGAAAAAATTATTTTTAAGACATGAATAATAAAAAAAAATCTTGCTGTTACAAAGAAGCAGAGCTTGTTTGATATATGTTTTGATGAATGAGAAAATGTGTTGGGTGAATGTAATATTGACAACATAGTAAAGTTGCATGTATATTATTCATCTTAGTTTACACTAGCATGCATTCCACTGGTACTTGTTAGTTACTTAATTTTATTGAATATAAAATGTTTTGAGAGGATGAATAACTTATTCATCTATTGAATCAGTCACCGTCCATCTGTAATAGTCAGGTATACATACATGCATATTGTCAAGTATTGAGTCTTACAAATTATTAGTTGATTTCAAAGACTCTGGAGTAAGGTGTTGGCTTGGTATGTTAAGTGAAATAGGGTTTAGAAACAGCCTGTATAATGTTAGTGCTATGAAAATAAGTTACAGGCTTTTAAATTTATATGATTCCCAATGAGAGCATGCAAATTTTAATGTGAAATTTAAAAAAGATTGTCCTGTGACTCTCTCTCTCTATTATTTATATATGTATAATATTATATATAAATATTATATAATATATATTTATATATAATATATAATATATATTATATATAATATTTATATATAATATATATAATATATAATATTTATATATAATATATAATATATATTTTATATATAATAGAGAGATTATATATTATATATATTATATATTTTTATATATAATATATATATAATATATATATATACTTGAGACAGGGTCTTTCTCTGTTGCCCAGGCTGAAGTGCAGTGGTGTGATCATAGCTCACTGCACCTTTGGCCTCCTGGGCTCAAATGATCCTCCTGCCTCAGCCTTCTGAGTAGCTGGGATTAGAGGCATGCACCGCCACACCTGGCTAATTCTTTTTATTTTTTATTTTTAGTAGAGATGAGGCCTTGCTATGTTCCTCAGGCAGGTCTCAAGCTCCTGAGCTCAAGTGATCTTGCCACCTTAGCCTCCCAAAATGCTGGGATTACAGGTGTGAGCCACTGCAACTGGCCCTGTCCTGTGACTTTACATATTTACTGTTGAACATATGGTTTGATAAATATATGTTTGTGGAATATATACCTGGTAAACAGATTCTAAATGGACCATGAGTAACAAGAAATAGCAATACTGTTTGTCTGAAAGTCTTTGAATTTTAACATTACTTGATAATTGTGTTAAAGACTAGCCTCTCTAAAGTAATTCTGATACCTTTCAGTATTTGCACATTGATAATCAAAATGTCTCTGCAGGTGATTGATTTTTCTGTGTTGCTCAGGAGCACTGTAGCTTTCTGCTAAATCCACTACAGACATAGTCTGGGAGTGTAACATATGTATGATGAAGTACAGTCTCTGTTCTTACTTCTGAACACACAGAAGAATGTTTTGAAATGGCTTCTTTTTACACTGAGCTGCACTAAATTTTAGCTGGACAAATGAAAAATAAAACCTTTCTTCGAAAAGATTTGAAGTGGAGAATGCTGTCAGATTGTTGTATGGAATTCTGGTAGAGATATAGTTGAGGATACATGATTTATATCTGTGCATACAGCTATATTAGAGTAAATGCATCTAACATATACTCTCTATGTAAACATATATGTTTACAAACATTTATATATACATATATACACATATATACACACATTCACATATGCATGTTATAATGCATACGATATTTTTATATTTATTCTCTCATACACTATAAACTATGTGGAAAACTTTCTCCTTTTTGTTTAGATACCAAACTTTAAATGAGCATCCAAACTGTGCACAAATCTGTAAATGTTACTTTAGACTTAAAGAGGAAAGGAAGGCTGTCTGATTGCATTTCCTTTCAACACTGCAATGGTGATTGCCTGAGGTCTCGTCTCCCCGTAATGGATGTACATTATCTTTATTTGGCTCATCCCAGCCACTTGTGTACAGCGCACAGAGAACTTTGCATTAGGCATGGAGCATGACTCCAAGACCACTACACTAGCAAAGTACAACATTTACTCTTTGGTCAATTACCTTCTTCGCTTCTGTTGCTATTTCAGGGGCAGGACAAAGGGTAACACAGGGCTCTGTAAATATGAAATTAGAAAGAATAGCTGGAAGTCCCTATACTGGGAGCCAAGTATACTTACCACATTCAATTCCATCATAGAATACAGGAAAATGAAAAACATATGGGTTGACTTGTTGAGTTGATTTTTGTTCTGTACTCTATTCTTGTTATGGATTTGTTTCCAGAATCAAACATTTTGACTGCTTCTTGGTGGATGCATGTGGGTTTGAAAATATCACAGCATGTGGGACCCAGTAAAACATGAATTTTGTTTTCCTTGGCTTCTGTATGTCATGATCTGTTCAATATGACAGTCTGGGAAAGAGTACATTTTAGTAAGGTCTTAGGGCTGAGTTGTGGACTTTACTTCGGTGAGTCTAGTAATGAGAAGTTGACTCATGTTCAACTTGGTTCTCCCATTTGTACAATTCATATTATTGGGTTTTATAGTTTCTTACATTTTTGAAATTAGAACTTCTAATTATATGTCCAGGCACATCCTACTACAGTGTTTTACAACATGTGAAGTGCCTATTCACGTCTATTAAATGAACAGAACATTAAGATCTATTAAGATAAGTCGATATAAAGTTGTATCCAGTCAATTGTTGCTATAATAATGCAACATAACAAGCAACCACAGTATTTCAATGAAATAAAAATCATTTATGAAGCTCATGTGTCTGTGGGTCAGCTGGAGGTCAGCAGATCTAGATTGGGCTCATCTACGGCAACTGGCTAGGGCTACTGTGCTCAATGTGCTTCTCTTCATCCTCCTGGGACCAGTGGGCTAGGCCTGGCTGTGGTAGAAATGTAAGAAGGCAAGACAGTCACACATGTGCACATCAATTGTTTTTGTCTATTTTAATATTAATTTTTAAAAATTTTTGTGGGTACCTAGGAGGTGTATATATTTATGGGGTACATGAGATGTTTTGATACAGGCATGAATTTGAAATAAGCACATCATAAACAATGGAGTATCTATCCCCTCAAGCACTTATCCGTTGAGTTGTAAATAATCCAATTACTTTATTTTAAAATGTACAGTTGTTATTATTGACTATAGCCACCCTGTTGTGCTATCAAAACACATCAATGTTTTGATGGGAGGGTGTCACATTATACCTAAATGTTAGCCAAAGCATGTCACATGGATCAATCTGAAGTCAAGGAGCAGAGAAATATTCTTTCTCTTTACTAGGAGGAATTGCACAGTCACATGGTATAAAGCGCATGGATACTGGTAGTGGTGAAGAACGGGGGCCATTAATACAATCTACCACGAGATTATAACTTATTTTCATATTCTTCCTTTTGATGAGAACAAAGTATATATCTAGAATGGACTGATGGAATCAAAGAAGCAGTTTACAAAGTTACCTATCCTAACCTATTGCCCGATTTGGTATATAATTTCCTAATTATATATCTTTCTCCTCACTCCTTCTATATACTCCATGGGGTAAGGATGACATCTGCTTTATTCATCAGGGTGTACCAAGATCTAGAATAGTTCTCGGCATGGAAGCTAAGCAAATATTTTTGCAATGAATTAGTGAATTTTATCTAACACTAGGCTTCTCCCAAAATCAATTGAGATAACAGGCTAATAGATTTGTAAAGTTTTTCTGGGCACTTATGATATACATGACACTATGATTAACACTGTGTGGAATATGACATCGTAGAAGGAGTAACCTCTGACCTGAAAAGGAGGAGATAAAATATACCTGCAAATATTCATTTTTTACATTAGCCTTTGCCACCACAATCCTCTCTTTACAGTTCATGAAAATGTCCAGTAGGATAAGGAGTCCTGGGTTTATTGTTATCAAATCCATTCCTTCTTGCCCAAATATTTGAGATCTTGTCATTAAAGAGTCTAAGTTAGACCTCCCAAAAATGCTTTAACAAGTTCGCTTGCTCATGTTAGTGCTTAAAACAAATTGCTTGTTTCACACAGTCTATTTTTTAAATAAAGAGAATGGTATTAGTCAAAGACCTTGCTCATCAATCAATACCTTTATCCCTTAACTCTTTCTTCTCTCCCTTTTCAGTGGTTTATTCCTCTAGATATCATAAAGGCTCAAGTTGATTATGCAGTATCCTAAGGTTTTGGCCTATGACTTCCTGTTGGGAGTATAGCAGGGCTGGTTCTACAAGTTCTGAGTAAGAACCTGGTAGAAGACGTCTTTTCCTGATTTTTGGCAATGTTGTGTATTTAGTGACTCTTGGAGCTCATCTGTGTTACTCAGGAGCAACAGGGGACTCCTACTCAGCATCCTGTCACCACAAAGGCAATGAAATATTAGGGGTCTCTGACCGAAGTTGGTGCAGCAGGAGAACAAACTAAAAGAAGAGGTGGTGATGAAATCACCTCTGTATTTTGCTGCCATAAAACCAGATGGTTTTTGTGGTTATTGACCATTCCTTTCTCAGTCTCTGTCTCTTCACTTTGCCTGCAAGCTTTAGGTGTTCCTCCAAGTGTGTCTTCACATTTTTATTCTTATTCCTCATTATCTTCCTGAATAACCTTGCCTATTCCTATAGACAAGGAATTCCTCATCTTCAGCCTCTATCAAGATGACCGCAAAATTTAGCTTATTCCTGAAGTATTCCCACACTAACAATTACTTAATTTACATCTTTATATGGATTGGATGTCTTGTCAGAACTCCAACTTAAAATTTTTCAAATTGAATTTTTTTTTTTCTTAAACCAGCTTCTTCTAGTTGGCTGAATTGCTACTGTTTATGACATTTCCTGGTTGCTTGAATTGAAATCTTGTTAACTTTTACTCTTTCTAATTTTTCTTTCTCTGGTTGTAGCCGATTGCTTTGAATTAATCCTCTTCTAAATTGCTTACATCTGTCCATTCCTGTATTACAGAATCTCCATTCCTGCCCTTACTAGTTTGCAAGGGCTGCCATAACAAAGTATTACACAACGATATAGAAATGTATTTTCTCACCAGTCTGGAGGCTAGAAGTCCAAGATCAGGATGTCAGCAGGGTTGGTTTCTTCTGATATCTTTTTCGTTGGCTTGCGGATGGCCATGCTCTCTCTGTGTCTTCACATGAGCCTCCTTCTGTATGTGTCTGTGTCCACCTTCCCTTTTCTTTTTTTTTTTTAATTTTGAGACAGAGTCTCGCTCTGTTGCCCAGGTTGGAGTGCAGTGGCATGATCTCAGCTCCCTGCAAGCTCTGGATCCCAGGTTCATGCCATTCTCCTGCCTCAGCCTTCTGAGTAGCTGGTACTACAGGTGCCCCCGACCACACCTGGCTAATTTTTTTGTAATTTTAATAGAGACAGGGTTTCACCGTGTTAGCCAGGATGGTCTCGATCTCCTGACCTCGTGATCTGCCGCCTCGACCTCCCAAAGTGCTGGGATTATAGGCGCGAGCCACTGCGCCAGGCCCACCTTCTCTTTTCTTAAAAGGACACCACTCCAGTTGGATTAAAGCCCACCCTCATGACATCACTTTAACTTAATTACCTTTTTAAAGGCCTTATCTTTAAAAACTGACATTTTGAGGTACTGAGGGTTAGAACTTCAACATACGAGTTGGGGAGGGGCACAACTCAGCCTATAACACTGCCTGTTCCCGCTGATAACTGTAGTCAGTTCATCACTTTTATCTAGACTGTTGCAGCCCCCCACTCCCAATTCTCTGCCTTTTTTCTTTCACCACTTTACTACACACAATTACTGGATTAATCTCTTTAATGCCGAGATCTTTTTTCCTTAGTGACACCTTAATCACTCTTAGCTTAACATATATGGTCATCCATTACTGGGTTGCCTCTGCCTTTCCAGGATTGGCTGCCACTGCTCCTCCACATACCCTGTATTCTAGCCAAATGGAATCACTGCTGTGTCCCAAGCAGATTCTTTATTTCTCTTGGCTGTTGCTCTCTATTTCTAATGCTACCTGCCCTTCAAGACTCAGCTCAAATGGCTATTTAACTTAGGAAGATCTCTCTGACACTTCTTGTTGGAATTAATTTCCCTTTGACCACTATTCCTGTTGCACTTAATTTTATTTCTTTTAGAGAAGTTGCCACATTTTACTTTGATTACAGTAATTTAGATGGCTCTTATCTCTGGTATCAGTGTGTAAATTCCTCTAGCATAGAGATTGAATCTTGTGTTTCTCCACAGTGCTTTCATACACTTTGTAAAATAGAAACTCACATTTATGAGGTACTTAGATGCCTTTTCTGTGCTGTCTTACTTAGAGATTCAATAATTTGTGACATAAATTTTAAAAAACAGAGTATTGCTATATATATAAGTGCTTCTCACAGTTCTTATCACTATCAGCATTCAATAAAGGATTTCAACTATAATCACTATTTTCGGGGCAATAAATATTGGGTCTATTAACCTAAAATGTATAGCTCCTCTTAAGGCCGGATGCACTCCTTATGGAAAACAGGAGAGTCCTCAAAGCTGATGGTGGTTGGCCGAGGTGAAAGGCTTTCAGGGAACGTGGCTGGAAACAGTGGGCTGCTAAGCCCTCAATCTTTTGAGCAGCTGCCAAGCTCCCTGTGTTTCACCCTCTCTTGTGGGCGACAAGTACCAAATCTGTATGGCACACAAGGGTATGAAAATGAGTTTGGGGTTCCTGGCCTCAGCTGCTTGAATTTGTCACCCTGGTCAAATAGCACAAATTCCCTCCTCTCTTGTGCATTGTCCTTCTTGATTTCCCACAAGAACGTATTTTTCCTAACCTGACAGGCAAATACATAATTTATTTCATCACTGAATTTACTGCGAAACTAATTGTTTTCCCAATGTGTGGAACCAGTGTAAACAAAACCAAGAAGCATGGTTTGTGGCTTATTTAAAATCCTGCTTTCTGTGTACTATTCTAGGAAGCTGTTTGCTTCGGAATAGTGATCTGGTATGTATTAGCAACCTTGCAGGAAAATGCTGAAGCAATTTGCCATCTTCCCTTAAAAGTAACATGACTATAGACCAGAAGAGTGATAGGCTTTATGCCACAGATCTAAAATAATTTCAGACCTCATAAAGTAAAGCCATTCTCAAAGTCTTATTTTAGATGATCATTTTCCCTCCTTATGTGAAACAGCAGGTGAAAAGATGCCACTCTGTACTTCTGAATGTCAGTTTTGATGAGTGTCCCCAAGTTTGCTAGTTAGCTATAAAATCCACAGGCCTATATAGAGAGGAGATATGGATTATGATATAATAATGAAATTGCAAGCTTTAGAATATTTAGCCTCTTCTGTGTAACTGATCAGTTCTTATTGCATCCATCCACTGCATATTTTCTTCAAGAAGAAATTACATCAGTGATCAGGCAGTTTCAGGCCTGTAAAAACTTCATTACATAAAATGTTTCCATTATATCCATTCATACTTTCTCTTAGATGCTGACCAACCTACTGTCTTATTTTACAACCTCAATCTCTCACCTGCTCCTGCCAAAGTTGCATTGTTTACGTTCCAGAAAGAGGCAATGATCCCCACAATGGGATTGCATAGGAGTGTGGATATATGTTTGCCACCTATTTGTCTTTCCTCCCTTTCACCCTCTCCTTCCCTCCCTTCTTCCCTCCTTCCTTCCTCAATCTGAATGTTTTGTAAATATTTTCCTTATTCTTGTGATTAAAATATTTGTCAATATGTTTCTGGGCATTGGTCTCTTAAATTTTGCTTAAAATGTGATGAGCCCATCTCATTTGTATATCCATGATTTTTTTCAGTCTAGGAAAGTTATTCTTTGATTATGTCTTCTATTATTGTTTTCATTCCAATTACTTTGGAATAAATACCAAAATAATAGGCTGGCTCTGCATTCTTTGGTCTACAAACATATTATCTTCTCTCATTTATTTTTCATCTGCTTGATTGGTTCTGCATTTTTAGAGGACATATCATACTTTTCTTTCATATCACTGATTATATTTTCTTAAACATATATTTTACTCTTTATTGCTTCTCCTCATTTATTTCTATCTCGGCTTTGTTAGTTATTTTAAAACATAAAATTGTAAATTAATATTTGGAAACATACCACAAATGAAAGGAAAGGCATAGGACAAATATTTGCTGGGGAAAAAATCCCACCAATAGTAAAAGTCGTTAAACTTAATGTAAAAAAGCTCTTTCAATTAAAAAGAATATCAGTGGCTTAAGAGGCAAAAATGGCAGAGACAATTACAAGTTATTCAGAGAAGACAAAAAAATAGATAAATACAGGAAAAGTGCTTGACCTAATTAGTAAAATTTTTAAATAAACATTAATACTTTGAAATATGGAGTATTAAGATAAAAAGTAGATACAGTGCTGAGGTGGACTTTGTGAAATGGATAATCACAAATATTGCTGATACGAGCACAAACTTCAACAAACGTTCTTGAAACCCACTTGTTGATATGAGTGAAAAATCTTTTTTTTTTTTTTTTTTTTTTTGAGATGGAGTCTCTCTCTGTCACCCAGCCTGGAGTGCAGTGGCGTGATCTCGGCTCACTACATGCTCTGCCTCCTGGGTTCATGCCATTCTCCTGCCTCAGCCTACCGAGTAGCTGGGATTACAGGTGCATGCCAGCACACTTAGCTAATTTTTGTGTTTTTAGTAGAGACAGGGTTTCACCATGTTGGCCAGGCTGGTCTCGAACTCCTGACCTCAAGTGATCAACCTGTCTTGGGCTCCCAAAGTGCTGGAATTACAGGTGACAGCCACCATGCCCACCCAGCCAGAAAAATCTTAAATAGGAGAAAATTCATTGACACATCAATCTTATTTGTGGGAATATATCTTAAAGAAATAATCAAAGATGTTATGAAAATTGTAAGCACAAAGGTACCCAGTATGATTTAAAATTGGAAAATATAAAAACCTAAGTACCCAACAGTAAGAGAATTATACATGATAGAATACACGATGAAATATTATCCATCTTTTTAAAAATCCTGTTTTCAAAGAAAATGTAATGGTTTGAAGAAAACATTCATTTTAGTGTTAATTGAAAAAATAATTTAAAAAACTGTATGATGTTTATTAACTAAATTACTTCCCCTGCCCCCTACCCCCACCGACACACACAGAATCTTCACATATTTAACATTATTACTATTTACTTTATCCCATGGTCTTTTAATCATACTCTGTTTTCTTCTTCTGGATTCCCTTTTCATGAAAGGCCTGCTGTTTTGCATTCTATGGAGGATTTCCATGGCAGATAATGTTTAGATGTTTCCTCATTCTTCTGATTGACGGTCTCCTTACTTTGTTTGTAGTACTCTTTTCCTTTTACACACTTGATTTTTCTTTACTCAATCTTGAGATAAGAGATAGATCTATAGATGATGATTGCCAGTGGCTTGCCGTTGTCCCCATTCTTGGGACCCCTTTGGTACGATTCCATTCTCAAAGCTACAGTTTCCTGGAAGTTTGACACATGTATCTCTTAGCCCAGTTTTTCACATCTAATAGGCTTTTATCCAGTGTAGCTTAGCTGGAGTGAAATGGTGTCTTCTCTTGTGTTTGATTCCCCCACCCCACGTTTCTCTGATACTCTGAATATGAAATCATGAAAAAATGCAAGGTGGAGTGCGTTGCTTTCTGAAAGCTTCCTGGGTCTACTCTCAGTTACAGGATCCAGAGCACCACCACGTGTTCCCAGCCTTCTCTTCCCAAACTTGTTGTCCAGTTGTTTCCTTCTAGCTCAGTCTCCTTGGAAGGAGAGTTAGTGAGGAAAGAACTGGATAGGGCATGAGGAGCATCCAAGAGAGGGGTGGCTGACCAGTTGTATATTTGTTGTAGTCCCTGTATGTATGAATCAAAAAGAGATGGTAGGGGAGGAGCATCGGAACATCGGCTCTATAGTCCCACTTTAGAGTTGACATTGCAATTATGATCTCTTATTGTGTTTTTCGATTAGTTTCATTGGCCTTGTAATTAGTGGGAAATTCTTCCATGTTCTTGTCACGGGTTTCCCTTACTCTCACTTTTCATTATTGTGACTTATCTCCTTTTGGAGGGTGCCTTCATAGGTGTTTTTTCAAGAAGTTGGAAAAGCTTGCTTGCTTTAGGGGCTGCTTAACAATATGTAATTTTAAGTAGGAAGAATGAGGAAAGGGTTTTTATTTTAATTTAATTTAATTTTATTTTTCCCTTAAACCATTTTTCTAAGGTTGATGTACTTTCATTGCTATAGTATGAGAGAAGACATCACATCCTTATACCTTGGGCAAGGGGAAAGCTGATTTTAGCAAAATTACCACATTTCTCCATTGCAGCCTGCATTATCACATTATAACACTACAATCAAATGAAGCCACCAATCACAGAGGACTGAGAAAAAAATAATTTTTCAAAACTGTCTATTAGCTTCATTTTGAAGCTACAATATGCTACGTAAGTATGAATTAATAATACCAAGTTCTGTAGCTTTTATAATGTACCAGCTACTGTTTTTAGCATTTTGCATTTATTAACTAATTTAATTCTCGTGCCAACCCTATGAGGCAATCTTACAAATGAGGAAACTGAAGCAGAGGGCAGTCAAATAACTTGCCATAGGTTTTATAGGTAAGTGTCAGCTAGGATTTGCAATCAGGCAGTGTGGCTCCATTATCTATGTTTTTAATCATGTTAGACTAGCAAAGGCCAAATGACTGAACATCCATCTTAAAATGCTTAATGAATTATTTCTGAATCTACTTAATTTAAATACACGTAAAGAAACCTGGAGAAGTCTTTGAGAAGAAGATGGAAAAGTTAATTATGTGTGTGTGTGTGTGTGTGTGTGTGTGTAGAGAGCAAGAGAATACACACACACAAAACACGACTCTGTGTCACTATTAAAAAAAGGTATAATCGCATGACAATAATTTCTGTAGATTCTCCCTTCTTTCAAGTATTAATATTTTGAAAATAATTTAAATCATTTGCCTTCTTTTATAGAAAAATAATAACAATGATTACCCCAAATCATACCCCTAAGGGTTGTTCCCTGTAACAATGATCAAATTACATTAGCTCGTTATTTATTTTCTCATACCACTTGCTATAGACCATCAATAGTTTGAATTTGTGAGTTAGATGAATACAGTTTTTAGTCCAGTTTTCGGTCACAGAAGAGAGCAAAGCATTTGCTGATGTCGAATGCATGACCTTGGACCTCCTCAGAAACATTCTCTAATCAAATGAACTCCTGGGAGCAGATTATTTACATCTGGAAGGCAAACATTATGTAAATGTTTATTCTTCTCACATTTGTTTAGAGGGACTCAGAATTATCCCCAGGTGGGGAAATCTACATTTTATTGTCTCTTTTTGTAGTGATCCTGTCCCATTTGTCAGGCTATGAAAGGGGACCACTTGAAAGGCAATCGCAGAAGGGCTTCCAATGTCTTCAGTGACCTTTTTGGATTTTCAAGAATTCCTGAAACTGCTAGAACATTCTTAGATTCTCGAGATGCTTTAAAAAAAAGTTGTGTTGGGATGCTTTTATAGGAAGCATACAATAATGTAATTGATGAGATCACAAGCAAAATTAACTTTAAAGCTAGAGATCTCTTTTCTGAAACATTACTGTCATTTATATAATTTTTCTTCTAATTTGTTTACATTAAAAATCCAGAGAATACAAATATCTGAGAAAAAGAGAAAAATGGAAAAATATATGCAAAAAAAGATGAGAAAGAAAGATTAGAAGAAGTTTTGTTTTCATGCAGATAGGATATTAGAGTGTTAGAATTGAGATCTCTCAATTTACCAAGAAGAGAGTCGACCAAGAATTGGAGTCGTTTCTCTAAAGCACAGCAGTCAGCACGTGGTCCATGGGAAGGAGATTTCCACGTGCTTCTCTTTCATCTCATTCATTCCCAGCTGGAAGGTCGGAAGAATGACAAAAGGTCCTGGCAAGAGAGATGCCTCATTGCCATTCTTTTCTCATATATTTGGTAGGTTTTAGCAAATGATAGAAAGATTTTAAATTAGTTTGCCCACGCTGCCACAACGGAATACTTATTTATGTATTATGACTGGGTGGCTTAAACAACAGAAATTTATTTTCTCACAGTTCTGGAGGCTGGAAGTCGTCCAGATCTAGGTCCTGTGGGGTCTCTGAGGAGGCCTGTCTTCCTGGCTTACAGATGTCTGGCTTCTTGCTGTGTGCTCTGGTGATGGAGAGAGGGAGAGAGAGGAAGAAAGGCAGAGAGGGAGATGGAGGAGGAAGTGGGACAGGGAAAGGGAGAGGGAGAGAGAGCACACTCTTATAAGGACACTAATCCTGTTAGATCAGGGCCACACCCTTATGACCTCATTTAACCATAATTATTGCCTTAGAAGCCCTATCTCCAAATACAGCCACACTGGGGGTTAGGGATTTAGCATTTGAATGGGGAAGGCCCCAATATTCCATCCTTAACAGACTCGTAGTACCTTCTAATTTTAAAGAGGATTGATAGTGCTATAGAAATTCTTTCCAAAAAATAGACAGGAAGGTTTGAATAGCAGAATAAATTTAGCTTAGGAATCAGACAGATCTGAATTTGAACCTGTGGCTCATCTACTGACTGATTATCCATAGAGAAGTTATTTACTCTTCCTGAGTCTTAGTTTTCTCCTTTGTACCATGAGGACAGTAATGCTTCAGCTATTGCATAGAGCACTGAACACAATGTTGTTTATAAGGATAAGTGCTCAATGTATGAAAATGATGATTATTATTATCCCAGAGATTAGGTGTATCCCAAGGACTCAATTTACCTAATCCAAGTAAAACTATCATAAACAAGTATTTCCTTATCCTTGACTGCCTTATGAATAATTTTAGGGGAAGTAAAGCTATGATTATGAAATACATAATTAGGGAAAAAGCAAAGCTAGCCATACTTTTTTTAAGCCTTCAAAAATGCCTTTCTTCAACCTTAACAATATTCTTGACTGCTCACAACACTTTCTTTTCTACACATCTTTGAATTTCAAAAAACAAACCAAGTTATGCTAGTGAAACTTTTCCACTGACTCATCTTGTTCTGGGGGCCCTGGAGGCCAGAATCAGGATCAAGAGATGGGATTCCCCAGGAGAAAGATTTAATCTCTACTAAAACAGGAGCTTTGTAATAGTTTGAGCTGTTGAATAAGGAATGAGTTTCCTCACAAGGTGGTGAGTTCCTCATCTCTGAATGGGAGCCACTTGGCAGGAATATTGTGGTAGCATTTCAAGCAATGGACAGGAAACTGCTATACGTGACCTCGGAGAGCTCTTCTGCCCTGAAATTATGTGATTCCAGAATGTCACTTTCAGGAAGTCTCTCCCTTTAGAAAAGGATGTCCAGATGGAAATTACCTCAGTGTCTGGCTTAGGACCTAGAAAATAGAACTCTGATTAACTTGTTCTGGCAGCCCTGGAACTTGAAGTTCTTTCAGACTGTGCCTTAAGTCCTAGGGCTACTGACCATCACTTTGGAGCTAAATATAGTCTA
This sequence comes from Homo sapiens, assembly GCF_000001405.40. NCBI lineage: Eukaryota > Metazoa > Chordata > Mammalia > Primates > Hominidae > Homo > Homo sapiens. The sequence goes on along the minus strand of NC_000004.12, from coordinate 109,184,522 downwards.
GAAAGTACCATTGTGTATCCGACACTAGGAGCCAGTGCAGCCGGCTTGCGTCTTACCTTGGTGTCTAACACTTCGTTAGGCCCTGGACATGATCCTTTTGTTAGATGCCAGCACAAGCATTTCATTACAGATTCAGGAAATGATGAAGAGATAAATGTTAGAAAGAATGTTTCCAAGGAAGATATTAATGGAGTGTTAATGCATCTTACTCTCTTCCCAGAGCAGAATCCTCTAGAGGGATTTTAGATTTATGGGAGTGAGAGTTCATCTATGCCAACAGAATCTTTACCTTCATTTAGCAACAAAGTAAATATGAATGTTAATTAAAGTGCCTGGTTTAGCACTTCCTTGTAAGCAAAATTCCTTGAAAACTGCTATCTGGAACAAAGCCATATCCTTGCTCAGTCATGGAAACCTAGAGCCAAGAAAACTAATGTATGCTTTCCTACCTCTGAAATGGAAGACAATAACAACATTGTATTCTCCAAGCTGAAAAATTTTGGACAACAGCATTTTTTTCATGAAGCAGGCCTCAAAGAGAGTTGTGAAAGGACCTTTGAAAGAGTTTCTGGAGCCCAATCTTTTTTTTTTTTTTTTTTGAAGTTGGTGTGTGTTTTAAAGGTATAAGTAATATGGGCTTCATAAATATTTTAAGTTTAAACATCAGTTTATTCTTTACCTTTCAACTTGGACACTGGAAATCATGATGCTATTATCAATATTTTAGCTATTATTAAAAGCCAGCCAGGGAAATGCACATACGGGCATACGTGTTGTGCCTCTCTCATAAAGTTTGCCTTTAGGTTTATCATTTATTTCTAATGATAAAGAATGCTTTATAGTTGGTAGCATTTTTTCACATTAATCATTTCTAATGTTTTCAAGATGCCCCAGAAATCTGAAATACCTCGTTATAGTTCTTGATCTATACAAAGATAAAATACTGCACTTGCTACATCTACAAATCAATTTAAAAATTACCTCCTAGATTTGAAATCACTTGGAGTATGGGAAGAAGAAAGAGAAAAGCACAGATAAGTCAGGCAAGCTTGTAAAATGAAATAAAAGTCTTTGCATTTTTCTCATGAATCACAAAAGTGCTTGTTGTTTGCTCCTGAGGGTTGAGGTGTGATAATCTATTAAATTGTTATGTGTTCATCATTTGGTATGGGTCCAAACTTTTTGTCTTCAGTTTTTCTCTTTTTTCATTGTCTTCTCTTTTTTCTCCTTTGTAGATTTTTGGCAGGTGGGTATGGGAGCAAAGCATCAGAGTCTTTGATATTATATCATCAGGATGCTGGTGGAGATGCTGGTTGGGTTAATTTAATTTAAAATTTCCTTTAATGTGTTTGTGGACATGGATGGGGTGGGAGGCTTCTCTCTCTGACACTATATTACTGAGGTTAATGTCATATATGGCTAATACATTATAGTTCTAAGGGTTGCATGTAACTAAAGTAACTAGGCTAATCCTAGTTTAAAATATTTCTGATGCCTCGGTAAAAAGATTGGAAGAATAATGAGCAGTGAAGTGGGAACAAAAAGGATTTTGATAAAGCAAAGCTGATTCTTTGTGTGTGTGTGTGCTATGACCTCTATTGTTCTCAGAAAAGCAGCTTGAAACTTGAAAGGTTAATAGGAAACCTTTTTTCCCCTTATATTGTAGCATCAAAAGTTCTCAGGCTGCAAGTGTAATTTATCCTAACACCTGCTGGGGTAGACACCAGGGCTCTATATCTGCCTCTAATTCTAATGGTCTTGTGATGTGACCTCAGTCACTTACGCATAAAGTGAGGGAATGTTAAATGTCTGTCATCGCAGTTTTGTTTAATAGGAAGATTATATAAATTTTATGTAGTGCTATCTAAATGAATTTTGTTTTCAGCTCTTACCTGGGCGTTCCTGGCTCTTTAGTACTCTGTTGGAACAGATGTGAGATGTCAAGAGTACCTATTCACCAGAAGATTGCTGAAACCTTTACCATGTTTACTAAATGTTATACTTTTAAACACTTACATATTTTTAAATGAAGGATATCTTATTCAAATACTATTATGTAGCTGATGGGATCAATATAATCATACTGTAGTTTACCCTTTGCCTTCCTTAGTAATGAATAGACTCTCTTGACATGCTTCCTGCTCTGTTCTTTACACAATTGAAAACAATAACAAACAGCCATGAAAATGGTACGGAGTTGGTGGCAATATAAATTTTGGCATTATGGAAAACAGCCATTGTGGAAAACAGTGTGGAGGTTCCTCAAAAAATTAAGTCAAACTACCACATAATTCAGCAATCCCACTGCTGAGTGTACACCAAAGGAAAGAAAATCACCACCTCATAAAGATATCTGCATTTCCATGTTCATCTCAGCATTACTTGCAATAGCCAAAATATGGAATCAACTTAAGTGTCTGTCAATGGATAACTGGATAGGGAAAATGTGGCCTATATACACAATGAGATTCTATTCAGCCTATAAAAAGGAGGAAATTCGGCATTTGTGGCAACATAAATGAACCTGGAAAACATTATGTTAAGTGAAATAATGCAGGCACAGAAAGACAAATACCTTGTGATCTCACTTACATGTCGAATCTGAAAAAGTTGAACTCATAGAAACAGAGAGTAGGATGGTGGTTATCAAGGGCTAGGGGCAGGAGGGGATTGGGGAGATGTTGGTCAAAGGGTATAAAATTTCAGCTGAAGGGAGGAAAAGTTCAAGGGATATATTATACAACATGGTGACTATAGTTAATAACAATGTATTACATACCTGAAAATTGCTGAGAGTAGATTTTAAGTGTTCTCATCAAAGCAAAATAAGTATGTGAGGTAATACATTTGTTAATTATTAGCTCAATTTAGCCATTCCATAGTATATTCACATTTCAAAACATCATTTGTACATCAAAACATTTGCATAATTTTTATCTGTCAATTTGAAAAATTTAAAAACTAATACGGTATATTGTTTGGAAATTTAGCTATTGTTCTTTACTTTCAAAAGATACACAGCAATATTTTTAAATATATATAACCATATAATCTGATATCTTTACATAGAAATTAAATCTGTGTTAATTAATTTCATCTGTATTTCATATGGGCATATGATGTTTTACTGAAATATTAAATTTAATTTCAGGGTAAAATCAAATAGTCGCCATTTAGAATAGTGAGTTCTATGGATGGAACTCTGGTCCATGAAGTCCCTGAAGTTGAATGTAAAAGATACGTGTAAGTGAATTTTCAGGGAGATGATCCATAGCTTTTTCAGATCCTCAAGGGAGTCTCCTCCACCCCACCCCAATCATATACATATAAAATTCTAGAACCAGAGGATTAACATAAAGTAGAACAGGCTATCAGAAACTTGGTGGGCTTGTGAAAAGCTTTAAAAATGTGTTTTTAGGAGTGCTGTAATTTAATGACACTGAAGCTCAGTGAGAAAGTGCTTCCTGATGGACAGAGCCCACTTTGCTCAATGCAGACCTCCACAAATGTCTTCATGCAAACTTGCATTGCATAGGTGATATTGGTGTCAGGAATTATGACATTATATATTTGATTCTACCTCTTCTTCAGAAAAAAGATATATCTCTAGAAATGTCACAAACATGAATCAAATCATGTTTTAATATTGTGTTTTATAAATACTAAATAATTAGCCAATGAATATTTAATCTTTTCATTGAAAATGTGAGTAACTTGCAAAAGCTGCTTTTATTTTCTAAAATTGCAGCCCTTTCTGACATTATTTCAATGGACTCTTCCTTCAAGCCTCAAAACTGTAGGTTTGAAGCTTATTTTATAAACTTAATGGAAATCTATAAACTTAATGGATATTATAAATCTTAATATAAATTTTTGGTTTTTAAAAAATATATTTGAATTCTGAAAGCCCTTATATAATCATCATCGTTATCACCACCATCATCATCTGTAACAGGTGCTATTCTAAGTATTTTTTATCCAGTAATTCATTTAATTATTACAGCAATCCTGTGCAATAGATACAACTTTTAGCCCCATTTTACAGACTAGAAAACAGAAGCAAAGAGAGGTTAGGTAGCTTGTCCAACTCTCTATAATAATATTTAAATGAGTAAATAAATAAATGAATAAACTTTACTATCCTTTAGAGTTTTAAAATAACTAGTTGTCAGAGATAGAGAAATAAAAACCTGAATTTTTATGCATTTAACTTGTTATCTGCACTTCAGAGTCAAAATTATTTCAGTAATCAGCTTTGTGTTTTGAGGCTACTTTGGCAGTGTTGCCAAAGGTCTTATGTTATGGTCATTTGTGTGTATTTACTAATTAACTTGACCTCTACAAGCAGTTTATTTACATTTTAATCTTCCTAAATTTCTTCTTCTCCAAATAAACTCTGAGAGCAAGATAATAAACACATGCATTAAAATGAAGGCTTCACTCTAACCAGACGTATTTCCATTTTAACATATTTATGCTTCTAACAACATTGATGTATACTAGAAGCAGAGTGTTAACATTTTACCCAAACCACATGGTGCTTACTGCACTGAGGCATCTATTTGACAAAAGCCCTAGAACACAATAATTAAAATATGCAAATCTCTTCATAATAGGCTGATTTTACAGTCTTTGCTCATGGAAAATCCCTATTGATTTCATATGTGAAGCATTTTGTCATTAAGTTTTAATTGTTGATTAAATAACAAGAAACATACACAGAACTCTCTAAACCTCTACTTAAAAATAAAGCAACATTTTGATGAACACTTCTAGTAAGTTTCCAAGTTTTCAAACTGTACAGAAGACCACATTAAGAAAAATACAGCTTCAAGAAGTTCAAGTTTGGTTTTGTGGAAGATCTGAAAAAAGACAGCTTTATAACACAGAAAGTAATCAATAAGACAGGTGTTTAAGTGTTTTGTGACTGGTTATTTCAAATAATAAGATTTTTAAAACAAATTGAGATAGATGATTGTATATTCACATGGGAATTACCTTTCTCTATCCTAACATACAAGGTTTCTAACAGGGGGTTTGGTTTCTGAAATCCAAAAAAATTGAATGAGGAGCAAGTGTTTAGGATCACGAATGCATATTAGAAGTCTCAGATGACCATGGTGTAACAGGATGGGATGGACATGCATAGTTGAACGGTACAGGGCTTTGAAATCAGCAGCTCTGGTGGGAGCTGCCCAAACAGCTGTTGTGTCAGGTGCAGTGGGGGGAGGTGAGGACAGTTAAGGCAGGTTGCAAGGAAGGCTGGGACTCAATAGTGGATGTGCTTCTCTTGCCAGCTTGGAGGCATCTCAGAGATGTTGATTTAATAGAGTGGAACACAGGTGGTGACCGTCACCTTGAAGCTCCTCCTGTCATTGCTGTGCCTCCAGACTAGGAAGTTGAGGATAAGATTTCCTGAATTCATGTCCCTGGTGGCAGATGAAACTTGGAAAAACATTTTAGGACAACTTTTTTTTTTTTCATTTTAAAAATGCTAGTCTAACATTTGCTTAAATGAATATATTCCTACTTGTTTGAGTGATTAATATTCTACAGTGCTATTGAGGCTTTATGTCACAAAGGCGCTTTTATATACACTATTCCATTTGGTTTGAGTCTCAAAATTCATGTGAAGCAGATTGGCTAGGTGATATGAAATCCATTTTTTTTTTTTTTTTTTTTTTTTTGGAGATGGAGTCTTGCTCTGTTGCCCAGGCTGGAGTGCAGTGGCGCAATCTCAGCTCACTGCAAGGTCTGCCTCCTGGGTTCACGCCATTCTCCTGCCTCAGCTTCCTGAGTAGCTGGGCCTACAGGCGCCCGCCACCACACCTGGCTAATTTTTTTGTTTTGTTTTGTATTTTTAGTAGAGACGGGGTTTCACCATGTTAGCCAGGATAGTCTCAATCTCCTGACTTCACGATCTGCCCGCCTCGGCCTCCGAAAGTGCTGGGATTACAGGCGTGAGCCACCGTGCCTGGCTGAAATCCATTTTTTAGATGAGAAAACTGAGGCTTACAGAGATCAGATAGTTTGTCCTCAGCCTCATTGTAGCTAACAAATTCAAGGTCAAATGTATACCTAAATTATTTGGCTCCACATTTAGTTCAAGTGCTCTTTCTGTACAAGGCTCCCACTGGATGGAAAAATCTGGCTATTATTATTTTTCTCTTAACTCTCCAATGTTCAGGTTAAAAGGACAATGTTTTAAAAAAGTATGGGCCCATACTTAATAAATCCTTACCCAACGTAGTTGAAAATGTTTTTAGCATTTTGATTCTTTAGGCGAAATGTATTTGGCAATTCCCTCTTTTAAGGAATGCTTCAGATGTTTGTTACACCTTATTTGAATGATTGGCATAAGGATGTATATAGGAGGGGCCATAAACTGCCAGAAAAGGAAAAAGAAACTTATTTAAACTTATTTAAGTAGATAACTGAATTAGGGCAAGAAATTAAAGTCAATTCCCCAGAAATGGTATCAGTTTGTACTTAAACCTATTATAATGGACGAAAATAGATATTCTACTCATGTTTAATTCTCTTATTCATTTAGAAGTATTGCATTTGAAACACTTTATCTTCACTGTCTTCCCTCACAAGATTAACATGTCTCTCTGCTCTTTTGCAATATTTATATGGTTAATTTTGCTAACAGGCAGTTTGCAGTCAACTGATGTTTGCTATAGAGGCACCCCTAAACGCAAATTTAACTGGAGCTATACTTACACAATGAATCACATTACCTGGCAATTTATGCTTTCGTTTTAAATTATTCAAAAATGTTTTTGTTGGGAGTCCTGGCACATCCTCATTAGCATGGAGCTGGTCAGCCAGGCTGCATCAATCATGCAGGGAGAATTTGTGTCCTGCCAGGCTTGTCACCTCCTGTTAACTCACAAGATAAACTTGGCCTGGAACTCATCTTGGCTGGGAAGAGTATAGGCTGTATTGATAGCAGATGGTGCCCACTGTATTTGGTCTAAAAGTTCAGCATCAAAATGAAGGAATAGGGTCTGGGGTGGGGGCTGGTTCAAGGAGGAGACCTGTCAGAATAAAAGTTTTGTAGCTCGCTTTTGTCCCTGGAGTAACGCAAGATATTCCATTTTAATGTTTGTTTTTGAGTAGAGCTTTTTACCAACATTCCCCAAATGCAGTGATGAGTGGGTGGTTCTTTATGCTGTTGTTTAGGTTTTGTTTACACTACGTTTTAACTCTCAGCTTACTCTTTGTCAGTCCCCCTCACTCTACAGACAATGAAATTGAGACTCTGAAAGGAGTGTGTCCAATGACGCAACTAGGCAACGACAGATGGGGCTTCTGATCTAGGCCAATACAGACTCTACCATGTTCCATCTTTTTTGTCTTCAGAGACAAGAATATTATTTTCCAATTTAGAAACTTGATTTTGTGTGTTTGCATATTCCTTCCTGCTATTCATTCCTAGACTAGGAAATCCCTCTCAGGTACCCCACCTATATTAGATTCCTAGGGCTTCTGTAACAAATTACCACAAACTCGGTGGCTTAACACAAATTAAATGTATCCTTTCACAATTCTGGAGGCCAGCAGTCTACAGTCAGGGTGTCAGCAGCACCATGTTCCTTCTGAACTCTAGGGGAGATCTGGCCTTGGGTTTTCCAGCTTCTTGTAGCTCCAGGTGATCCTTGGCCTTGTGGAGCTCCTGCCTCTGCCTCTCTCTTCACGTGGCCTTCTCCTCTATGTTCCTCCTCTTCTGTCTGTGTCTTTTCCTTTTATTTTAAAGAAACTTGTCTTTGAATTTGAGGCACCTGGTTAATCCAGAATGATCTCATCTTGAGATCTTTCACTTAATTACATCTGCAAAGATCCTTTTTTCAAATCAGGTCATGTTCACAGGTACTGGGGACTAGGGCTTGGACATATCTTTTTGGGGACCAGAGTTCTACCCAATATACCACCCTTAGGTTATCTTAACTCATTCAGCACTCTACTCTTTTTCTTGGAACTTTCTCGTTTTCACTTTTTCTTTTCACCCTAATCTGTATTTGCTGACCCTTTCTAGTTTTTGGGAGAATAATCAATTATCAGTGTTCTCCCTGGATCCTATCCTCCACTCTTTTAAGCCAAGTCTCATCTCTAGCTTTGTTTTTCTTTTGAGGCAGAGTCTCACTCTGTCACCAGGCTGGAGTGCAGTGGTGCGATCTTGGCTCACTGCAATCTCCACCTCCCAGGTTCAAGCGATTCCCCTGCCTCAGCCTCCTGAGTAGCTGGGACTACAAGTATGCACCACCATGCCTGGTTAATTTTTTGTATTTTAGTAGAGACAGGGTTTCACCATGTTGGCCAGGATGGTCTTGATCTCCTGACCTCGTGATCTGCCCACCTCAGCCTCCCAAAGTGCCCTCTCTAGCTTTTATGTGAGCTCCTTGAGGACAGGGATTGTATAGTTTATCTTTGTAGCATCAATGGGTGGCCCTGGTAGGTGTCTGATAAATGTGTGCTGAATAGATGAATGACGGTATGGCAATTAGAACTTTTTGAACATTTATGGTCTATTATACAATTCTCTAATGCAGTTGTATCAAACAACATTCTTCACTATAAGTTAAGGTTTAACTCTTACTGGAAAAGACATTTGCTAGGTCATAAAGTATAAGCTAAAAATAATTTTAAATGAACTAGAAAATACCAATACCATGGGCCTCATAAAGATGCAGGAAAAATCTTATTAGTTACAACTAGACATCTGTATGTCTTCATTAGACAGGACTTGACCTGTATTTTCAACTCTACTATGGCATTTTGTGTGGCTTAGATGTATCTATTGAATGGCTAAAAGTTCAATAGATATTGAAATATTTTATTCGCTGAACAATTAAAACTATTCCTAAAAATTAAATTTTTGGGAAAGATGGATAAATAAAATCTCATGTTTTATGAATATTTGAGTAAATTGACTTAATGTACCAGTAGAGAAACATTTAATCATGAAAACAGTGAGGGGGAAAAGTAACATGTTTTTAACACATAATCACAATTGTGTTTTATATGAAGAACTCTTATTGGAATGCTGTGTAGTTCCCCAATATTGTGGTTCAGTGGAACAAGATTCCTCAAAACCTATGCTAATGTACACTAGTTAAAGTTGGTTAATAATGATTACTTTGTGGAATATTCATTGAGTGGTATAGATTCACTCTCAGGGCCCCAGTGTTCAAATCAAAATATATTAACTGCATAAAAACGCAGGTTTGGGTTTGGCACAAACTATTTGCTTTGTAATGCTAGAAACTCGATGTCATTTTTTATGACCTTGGCCATGAGTAGAAGCCCCTAGAACCTTCCATATCCTTTTCTGGCAGTAGAGCTAAATACTCAACTGAAATGATGGTCTATAACAGAGGTCCCCAACCTTTTTGGCACCAGGGGCCAGTTTCATGGAAGACAACTTTTACACAGATGGGAGTGGGTGGGCAATGGTTTGGGCACAAAACTATTCCACCTCAGATCACCAGGCATTAGTTAGGTTCTTATAAGGAGTGCACAACCTAGATCCCTCACAAGCGCAGTTCACAATAGGGTTCATGTTCCTATGAGAATCTACTACCACTGCTGATCTGACAGAAGGCAGAGCTCAGGCGGTAATGCTCACTCACCTGCTGCTTGCTTCCTGCTGCGAGGCCCAGTTCCTAACAGGCCATGGACCAGTAGTAGTCTGCAGCCTTGGCTTTGAGGACCCCTAGTCTATAAGAACAAAAGGTGAGTGTTTAATTTTGCATTCAATAGTCAATAAAGTTGCTGTTTTAATTGCCTTCCTTTTACCCCACTGATGAAGGAGAGATTCCTGCCCTGGAGTTCTGGGGATGGTGGAACACACAATAACGCAACATGGGACAGGTGACATTGACAGCAGTTTCCTAGTCACTTATTCTCATGGCTGGGGGAGGAGGACTCCATATGCCCTGCAGTGCCACAGAGGGGTTGCACCCAGGAGCAATGTCAATGAGCAAAGGCTGTGAGAGGCAGGCTTCATAGTGTCAAGAGGGTGGAGTACTCCCTGGTTCCTGTGGGAGGATGTGATTGGCTTGCTTGAAACATTCTGTGGATTGGTGGGGAACTGAAACGTGCTACTCAGGAATAAGCAGGAGCTGTGTCTGGTCCCTGTGATAAAAAGGAATGTTTAGCTAGGGGACTTTATCTGTCAGGACAGAATGGGGAGGGGGAGCTTCAGTTTGGCCATTTGAGGCCCTCCTGATTTCACCACATGTCAAGGCAACATTTACAATAGGGCTTTATTTTAGGCCTTACACCACGGTTGCTACTTGTATTCACAGACTTTTAATGTTTTTAGGTATAAAACTGAATTCATTTCTCATAAATATCAGAGATTCTGAAGGTGATAAATTTTTACTTGTAGTCTATGGACAGAATTTAGAAAGCAGCCTTAAGGTTATGGTTTCCATGGGCTAGCACCTCTCTCAGTATTTAGCTTTTAATACTCATACAATTAAAAAATATAGACATATAGATTGAGCATCCCAAATCTAAAAATCCAAAATCTGAAGTGCTCTAAAATCCAAAATGTTTTGAGTGCTGCCATGATGATGCTCAAAGGAAATACTCATTGGAGTATTTCAGATTTTGGAGTTTTGAATCTGGGATGCTTAACCGGTAAGTATAATGCAAATATTCTCAAATCCAAAAGAAAAAAAAATACAAATCCTCACTGATGGTCTCAAGCATTTTGGATAAGATAATACTCAGCCTGTACTGAATATATAAGAATTATAGTTGACAATAATTATGTTTTTGAGTTTATGAATGACTTATTTTAAACTGAATATAATTATTGACATATAACAAATTGAGTTCTTATTCTGTGAGAATTTCTGTAATTAAATTTCTTTTACACTAGTATTATTGCCAGTTCAGATTTGCCATTTGGTGGCTCATAGAAAAAGCAATACTCATAGAGAAGCTCATAGAAAAGTAATCAATTTCATATTAAAAAAAGAGTATAACTTTGCATATTCTTATATACCATAAAATTTTATGCTTCTTTAATGCAATGCAATTTAATATACTCAAAATAAGATTTCCCATAATATATCAGTCAGGAATCTAACTGAAGGTCATTTAATTCATCAGGAAGTATCTTGGACATCAGAATTCCTTGACCTGTGATCCAAGCACTTTGGGAGGCTGAGGCTGGAGCATTGTTTGAGCCCAGGTGTTTGAGACCAGCCTGGACAATATAGTGAGACCTCATCTCTACTATTTTTTTTTTTAAATTAGCTGGATGTGGTGGTGTGTGCCTGTAGTCCTAGCTATTCAGGGGTCTGAAAGGGGAGGATCACGTGAGCCCAGGAGTTCAAGGTTGCAGTGAGTTATGATTGCACCACTGGACTCCAGCCTGCATGACAGAGTGAGACCCTGTCTCTCACACACACAAAAACCTCACACCTTAAAGTATGGTTTCTATAATGTCCAATTGTAAGAAGTACCCTGGCAACTTCTAATGGTACTTTTCTAAAGATCAAACTTCTTTACATTGCAAACTGCTAGATAGAATGTCATCAATCCTAAGATGTTTGAAATGCTTAAAGATGACATTTTAAGTAGTATTTGTATAACATCTCAAGTTTGTTGACCAGCCAGTCATGTTACTGCATACCCCATGATGAATCTTCCATTATGTGGATTTGATTTGTTTTCCCATTCAACTTAGATAAAGTGAAGGCTTGACAGAAGGAGGAGTGGCTGTTTTAAAGGCACACAGAACATTGTATTGCTACTCTCAGGCTTAAGAGGTTTTAGGATGCTGTTTATTCAACTGAATTGCATTACAGAAACTTTCAAATTTTGGCCTCAGAAAGGGATTTCAGATTTTAGCGTCCTAACAGGACAAAAGAGAGTTCAGTCATTACAGAATTGAAATGGTTTGTGGCAAAGTGGTATAATCAAGATGGATTATAATCAAGATGGATTATAATCAAGATGGATTATCGTCCTACAGGCAGGACACTTAGACCCACAGGAGGCAAGAAGGATCAGATTGTGGTCAGGACATGGATTTGTAGGAAGGCTTAAATAAATTAAATTCATCTTCAGGTCCCAACTTAGACATTACTGCCTCAGGGATGCCTTTTCTGCCTCCCACTCCCACCCCTTGGGATTCTCTTCTTGACAAATACCTTATTCTTCCTCGATTATATCTTATCGCATTTTTTGTATCTGCTTGGTTAAATATCTGTTTCTCCTGCTTGGCAGTGCACTTTGTAAGGGCAAAGACTGTAACTGCATTATTTATTTTTGTTATCCCCATCCCTTAGCACAGTGCCTGGTGCAACACATATTTTTGAACAGTGGATGGAAGGAGAAGCAAAAAGAGGCTTAAGCAGAAGGAAGTGTTCTCAGTGAGCTCAGTAAGCAAACTGCTCCTACCTCATCTCAGGCTTCCAGAGCTGATGGTTCAGGTGGCCCTGCAGGACATATACACCTTAAAATGCCTGGAACGATTGTATCAGGTCCTAACCCCTTGAAGGGGCAACACTTAATTAAATTTTCTCATTAGGCCTTATTCCCTGGGATATCTCTGTCTCTGTGTCAGCACAGAGACCCATATTCTCTGTGGAGACTGGTCTTTAAACAAAGGCCTGGACTTCACATCAGTGATACCTTAGGGAGCACAGTCAAGGGACTAGAGGGCTCATGCGAGAAGTGTCCTGGATATTCATCATCTGTAGAAAACGGATTATCTTATTTGCATGCATTTCAAGGTGTGTGGCCGTCATTTGTTCTACAAACATATGTTGAACACCAATTACATGTCAGGTGTTATGTCAAAGTAGTGGCTATTCAAAGATGAATAAAATACAGCACTTACCTTGGAAAAGCTCTGAGAAAGACAAATAACTGTGATAGAAGAGTTGTTAATATTTCTCCTCTTATTTTCACTTTTTATTTCACACCATTCACTTTATATTTTGAAAAAATGAAATTAGTCTGTGTCTTAGCTTGAGTTGCTGTAACAAAATGCCATAATCTGGATGGTTTAAGCAACAAACACTTATTGCTTAGCTAGCTAGTTTTTTGGCCTCTTCTTATAAGGGTGCTATTCCCATTCATGTGAATTCCACCCTCATGACCTAATTATCTCTGAAAGGCCCCACCTTCAAATACTATCAAACTGGGATTAGGGTTTCAACATATGGATTTGGAAATATGGGGAGGTGAGTCAGAATTATTCAGTCCATTGCATAGTCTCTTTTACTCAATCTTTATAAGTCAATGAAGTGAGACAAGGAATGAGAACTTTGGGATAAGAGTCCCAGCACTCTCAGTTGGCATGCCTCTGGCTGGAGCCTCTGGGATGCCTCCTTTTGCTTCTTCTTAGTCATCCAGTTCTGCCCATGTGACCTTTCACTGGATAGAAGGGCTAGGATTCAATGGATAACAGGTCTTGGTGGTAGGGTTCACATTCATTCATTCCATCAGTAATAATGTACCGAGCAGGGGACCAGGGATATAGAAGTGAAAAAGATAAAGTCCTTTCCCTCATGCAGCTTGCATCCTGTGGGAAGTGCCTCTACACATTTGCAGTTGATAGAGGAACTGGAAAGCAACAGACAATACCCACAGGAACTACCACCACGTGAAATGGTCATAGAAGCACAATGTGGGTCCCTTAGGTCTGCAGGAGCTATCCCATGTCATACCTGGACAACGGGATTGAGGGAGAATATATTCTGATTCATTGTTTAAAAACTTTGGATGACACCTAAGCTATTTCTGCAAAGGATTGTTTGCAAGTAAATATACCACTATGTGTTATTCATTTTAAGGAATCTTACTGAGTTCAAGTAAGAAAATGCATTTATTTCTCCTTCTATTCCTTCCTCTCCACCTGCCCATTTCATGATCTCCTTATCCATCCACGCGTTTGGGGGCATACAATGGGCACGTGTACTCTGAATTGAGTTAGAATAAGTTCAGATTTTCTTTTCTACCCAGGAGCCAGGTTTTTTGTTTATTTGTTGTTGTTGTTGTTTTATTAATCAGAAGATCATTTAGGCATTCATAGACAGTAAGAGTTCACACTGAATATTGGTGTTCAAACTCCTGAAAAGATGTGTGGATTGTATGGCCTGCACCGAACAGAAGTAAATCCAGTTCTCTATTTGAATAAACAAAAGAGGTGAAAGCTGCTTATCATAAAATGTTTTTAGAAGGACTGGTATGGATTTCCTATTTCAAGAATTATACTTTTTTAGCATATAAATAAAATTTTATCAGTAATTTTCATCTTCCCTATTAGGGAATTATCTCTTCTCCTTAGTAAATAAAATATCAGAAAAATAAACATAGAATACTGTTTAATTTTCTCCTTGCTTGCATTTTTCCTATGGAAAATTGATTCAATAAAATTTATGGAACATGTCCTCAGGTCAGAATAGTTCTATGACATATTATTTTTTGTCTGAACCAATGTTCATAGCTAGAAACACCAAACCTTTTAATATTTATTTTCTTGACTTGTACAATTAATATGAATGTTTATTCATTTATTATATATTATACATTTTCACATAAATGAATATATGAACTAATATAGTTTTCAGTAAGTATGGAATTTTAAATATTGAATTGTGTAACTCTTGTGGCTAATTAGACAATACCAGTATAACAATATGTTGCAAAGATGCAGGCTGTGTAATAAGAAAATTTTAAATATTTTCATTTATTTCTTTTGCTCTTTTCCCTTTTGAAGGAAAAATAAATATTCCTGTGACTTTAAGTAAACTTAAATATAAATCCAAATAAATTAGTTGAAGAAAAGATACAATTAACCATATTATAGTGGAAATTAGTTTTTTTATAGATTCATTTGGACTATTTTGTCAAACTAAAATTTCTAGGGCTGCAGTAGAGGCTGATCAACTTAGCCTAAATGGTCAATTCAGTCTGAATATGTCTTAAGAAAAATCATTTATCCAGTTGTCATTGAGCACTTATATAAAGCATTAGACAGGTGATAGAGATATAGATATATGCAAACACACAAGGATAATCAAGACATGGTCTTTGCCATCAAAGATTATGTAAGCTACAGCAAGTGAAGGAAAAGGGAATACACACAAATATGAGTCATATCATAAGACACACAAATAAGTGTCATAACACCGATGAACAAATTACCATGACAACTTTGTTAATCATTCCTGGCTACATTAGAGAAGGCTAGATTAGGAAGTTTGCCAGGCAGAGAATGGAGGAGTAGAGAATTTTAAGCAAAGTAAATTGTATGTACAGAAGGATTTAGCAAGGAGCACATATGGGCAGAAAAGAGGTATTGCATGTGTCAGGACACACTGAGTGAATGAAGTGGAACAGTAGCTGAGGCTAGAGACGTAGTTTGGGGATATATTTATATAAGGACACTTCTACCAAGTTAAAGAATTAAAATGTATACCGTAGAGTGTGGGGCACATGGGGAAGCTTTTAGACAAGAGGACATTATCAGATTTTTAATGGGAATTTTCTGCATAGTGTGGAGGAGGGAGAGGTTGTGGAGAGTAGCCTAGAGGTACATGCAGTAGTGCGGGTGAGAGATGCCCAGAGAAATGCTAAGCTGCTCGATGTGTGGATGCAAAATGGCAAATATGGATGTTCCAATGAATTCACATCAAGAGATATAAAAAGATTCTAAGAAATTTGGTTTAAAAACATTTTATTCTCTCTAGGATAAGTCTTAGGATTTAGATGCCTATAATACTTTCTGAATCCAATTCTGAAGTAGTTTGAGTCACAGCTTGGTTTAGTTTTGTCTGGTTCCAGATTAAACTTTTGGCATGGCCCTGAAAGAGCACCTCTGCAAGGACACTTTAATATGATATATAGTAGCTCCTGAGAGTCATATATGTCAATGGGAACTGGAACTCCATCGGTATATTTTGAGTTTAGAAAAGTATAAATAATATAAATTTGTGAATCTTTTATGACTGAGTGTTCTAAGGATTGTTTATGTTTCTGTGTAAAATGCATACAATAAAATTAGCTGGAATAATTATCTTTTCCTATTTGTAAGTCAAAGGAAGAATCATAACTTATGGTGAAACTCTAAAGCAAGAGAAAGTCGTTGCATTTACAAAGTGTACTAGCTAATACCCCAACTCTGTTGCTGGTAGTTGCTTTTGATCTCCATATTTATTTGGTAATATTTCTTCAGTCCATGATGGTGAGCATGATCTAATAAATTCACTTAAACTTATCAGGATTTTAAAGCCAGAATAGAAAGCAAGAATGTAGGGTTTCAGTGGAGGAAGAGTTCAGAGGGATATACTAAAATTTCACATAACCTTGAAAACAATCCTAGCCAAGGAATTGCCACGGCTCCATTTAATTTTTCATCAAGATGCAGAACCTTGTTCAGAAGAAACAATGAGCCATTGTGAGAGATTTGGATTCTCAAGTCTTAGTTCATCATTCTTTCTTAGGAGCCTCATAAATGGCAACCTAAAAAACCAACTATTACTGTTATCCCTTTCTACCCAAATTGATTGGGTTACAGAATTAAGGAAATACATGAATGGAGGCCAAGATAAACAGTTTTGACAAAATTGTTTCTCTAGTTCCATGAAATCATTAATTGGCCCACCTCCCCTCATCTATCTGAAATTATAGATGAGTTTTTTGTGTCACTCTAGATTGTCTTCTGTTATTTGTCCCCAGAGCATTGATACCTCTCCATTTTTTTCCTTTGACTTGTTCAATGCTAGTCTTTTCTTCTAGACTGTAAGAGACTCATTCATCTTGTCAGTGGGCTTTATCCAGAGCTTAACACAGTGTTCAGCCCCAAGCTAATGTACATGAAGTAACTCAAAAACAAGGGAGAGAGAAGTAGGGAGGGAAAGTGGGGAAGAAGGGAAGCTGATTTTAGAAAAATAGAGAGCTGGGTGAAATCTTATCACTTCAATTACAGTTACAAATGTAATTATCCTAAGGTTGTCCCTAAAATGAGAGAAATGTCATAATGATACATTTTAAGAACAATGCCTGGCACAGTAAGTATTTTTCCTAGAATTTCTCAAACTTATTGTTCATTCATTCAAGAGGCCATAGAGAAAAAAAGCTTTATTTCTTCATTTTGTATTACACACGTGGAATTAGAGACCAAAATACAGAGGAGTTATAGGGCATAACTCAGAAAGAACTTGGCTTCACTCTTGATGTGTCCCTTGCCTCACTTTGCAGCCATATATTGCCTAGGATTTGCACACATGTTATCCTGAATGGGACTCTTGAGAGAGAAAGATGAGTTTTATAAAATGTACTTCTGGTTCAACTTCAAGGATTATTTAAACCTACTTAAGATGTTATACAAATTCCTATAGGATTTTTATTTAATACCCTCACGAACATTTGTCTAACAGGGCAATGTTCTCATTTTCACTCAATTTTATAAGATTCAAGAAAAGCAAATTTGTTAAACAAAGACCTCATTGATCATATTCATTTTCTAGAAATTTTATTAAAAATAACTCTCCAACTTCAAAGGCACATTATTTACATGAATCTTTCCCACCACCCTATAAGTACTTTCCTCTTGCAGATTTTCCAGTCACTAACTAGGATGAAAGAAACTCTCGTAGAAATATCAAATTCAGTGGAAATGTCTATCACTCAGCAATTACAAAAAGGAATTTCACGCTTCTTGAAAAACCCATTAGTCACAAGCTCTAATTTGTATATTAGATTCATACTCAATGAATGCATTATTTGGCATTAGTTTCCAGAGAGAAACACAATGGCAAAGTGCAACATTTAAAACCTTCCTAGGGCTTGTGTGCTCACAGTGCCAGGAAATCTTTTCATTGTAAATATACGTTGTTGTTAGCTATGATTTTACACAGATCAGTGGAGTGCAAATCCCATTTCACAACTATTTTGATGTTTGGGGCTTAGGAAGACATAGCACCTGTTCCAACTCCAAATACAGTAGAGTCACAGTAGATGGCTTGTTTTTGTTTGGGAGGCAAAAGTAACAGGGAAAATTAGAATTCTATGCACCAGATTTGTTGGAAAACTGATTCAGTTGAATTCTCAGCCAAAATAAAAGCAGGAAAATGACACTTA
The DNA here is from genome assembly GCF_000001405.40 of Homo sapiens. Lineage (NCBI taxonomy): Eukaryota > Metazoa > Chordata > Mammalia > Primates > Hominidae > Homo > Homo sapiens. The sequence goes on along the minus strand of NC_000004.12, from coordinate 109,166,408 downwards.
TTTGGTTGAGGACATAAAAGAAGGAAAGTGACAGAATAATAGATTGGCAGAAAGAAGCTTCATCCCAGCTGTATTTACAGGAAAAGCTTTAAGGATGTTTAAGCATAAGTAGTGATGGAAGAAAGGAGATGGAGACAATTGATCTACTAGACATGCTAGATGAATACATTTGTTATTCAGTAGGAAATCTGGAATATGCCATGGAATACCTTTAGCTCATCTTATAAGTTGCAACTAAAAATACACACACTTTCACTCACTCATAGACAACTTACATTGGTTTGAACCCTACTGATTTGAAATTCAGGCACTACAGTATGTGTATGACTTTTAAGTAGAAAAATTGATCTAATTTTATTCTTAGTGCAAGTTATTTTAAAAAGGAAAAATGGAAATCTCAACTAAAAAAGTCATTTTTTTAAAGCAAGAGCTTAAAAAATTGGAATTTTTAAATGTTGTAATTCCAGATGTTTTTGATACTAAAGATATTTCAGCTCAATAAACATTTATATTGAACAACTGTTTATGTACAAGCCTTCTTCTAGTTAGAAACTGTACTTAATGCAATTTTAAAATTACACTTAATTTACTTAAAAAGTTCTTAATATTATGGAGATAGCATACACTTAATGTGAACTATACTTTTTCTCACTAGTGTACACCATCATGACTACTAATTATTATTATCTTTTTTGAGACAGTATTGTTCTGTCACTCAGGCTGGAGTGCAGTGGCATGATCATAGCTCACTGCAGCCTCAACCTCCCAGGCTCAAGTGATCCTCCTGCTTCAGCCTCCCAAGTAGCTGGGATTACAGGTGTGCCCCACCACACACAGCTAACTTTTAAAATTTCTTGTAGAGACTGGGTCTCAGTATGTTGCCCAGGCTGGTCTCGAACTCGTGGTCTCCAGTGAGCCTCCTGACTCAGCCTCCCAAAGTGCTGGGATTACAGACGTGAGCCACCATGGCTGGCCCTTCATTATTTTTTAAACAATGGACAGTGTCCAAAATTCCCTTTAAAGATCTTTGTATATGTATGCTCTAATTTTGCCCATTTTCTTTTTTTGGAAATTATTAGAGATGACCCCGATAACTGATTTTAGGTCTTGACTGTTAGCTAAGAAGTTTTTTCTTAGCCTACATGCATGAGGACTTTGTGACCACTGTCCATATTCTGCTTGAAAGCTATAAAACTTAAAAAAAATTTAAATCGCCCTTTCCTGATTATTAACTATTAAGCTTACAACCTAAATTTGAGTTAATATATGTGCTTGAATTCTTATTTCTGATAACTCAGAGAATACACAGTCTAGTTCTATGTGCAAAGGATGTTACATGACTATTATCATATGTTGTTTTTCTATTTGGAGGTAACAGTTTTTGTTGCAAACATTTGGAAGATGTCTCTGAATTCAGATATGGAGTCTAAAACCACAGAATGAAGTAGAGCTCAATGGTTTGGGAAACATATTTCTGCAAGACATCCAACCAGACTTAGTAATAAGCAAATTATAGAAAAGCAAGAAAGTGGTGGTGTTTCTAACTAAATATAATTGTGATTATTCAGATAGACTGGGCTGGAAGTTTCATATTGTTAATCAATATCATAAAGCAAATTGTTGTGGAAATGCTTAAAATATTTAAAAGAACAAAAACATTCTCATATAACATAGAAGAACCAGTTGATAAAATGAATTTGCATAATTTTATTTGGTCCTATCCTTTTATAAAGCATGCACCCTACAGGACTTTTGAACAGATTAACACGAGATAAATGATTCTTATCAAGTAAATGATTAAATGAATGTTGCTAACCTAGTTTGAATTACAAACTTGCACTAGTTGGAGTAACCAACACTGTTCACACCAACAGTTTCCTCAAATCCTGTCTCTTAACATTAAAAAACAAAACCAACCAACCAGTCAACCAACCAACAAACAAACACATGTATTTCTTGATTAGGTCAAACAAACAAACAAACAAACAAACAAACAAATGTATTTCTTGATTAGGTCAAACTCCAATCTCCAATGTGGGAGATGGTGGTATAAGGGTAGAGGAGATGTCTCTTCTCTGCATTCTTTTAGGGATCCAGGATTCTTTCATTGTTTCACTATGCTAAATTCCTTTCAGGGCTGTGTCTTCCTCTCTTATCAAGCAGTGAATAGGAAAAGGAAAAAATCATGGAGGATTTGCATACCAGGTTTCTTGCACAAGCCAGGCCTACTTCTGCCTACATTCCATTGTGTGCACAAGCCAGGCCCACTTCTGCCTGCATTCCATTGTGTGCCCAAGAGAAAAAGCAAGCAGAGTTTGTTGAATACATAGCATTCTCTTCCATAAGCACTTCTTAAAAAAAAAACCTTGTAATTCATAATTTTCAGTAATTAAAACTGAGCCATACCACTCGTTAATTTATATTACTCAGGTTTTACTACTTGGATTAAGTAATTACTTAGCAGAAGTGTTGAAGCAATTTACAATTCTGTGATCATCAACATAGACCAATTTCACATTGGCTCAAAGCTGAAGGGTCAGGAAATCCTTATGAATTATTTATTTTACTTTTGTAAATAAAAATGACTCTTTGGTGCATTGCAACAGATCAGAACCAGAAACCAGCAGGATTTGATGAGCAGAGGCACAGGTGGCTTCTCATAATGAACCTGATATGAGGAATTGGGAGTAGTTCAAGAGCTGAGCTGACTTCCAGGTGTTCTTGTTCCCAAAGTCAGACTTCAGTTACCTGCCAAAGAAGTAAAACCTCATTCATCAGAAAACACCTTTAGCCATTCATGCTGTTTAGGCTTCCAAAATCTGCCATGCAGCCTGTGCAGCAGGAATTCCTGCTGGGGGGAAATGGTTGATCTTCTGCAATTAGTCTGCTTCCATTTCCCTGTTGCTTCTTTTCTGTGTGTTGCTAACCTACCTCTCTTTTGTCCTCAGTTCCTTCATGTCCCACCTTGCATATTCTCTAGTCATATAGGCCAAAAAACTCTGCACAGTTTTTACATGGCTGCAGCAAAGGCCATTGTATCTGGTGGAAACAATTTTGGGCAGATGAACTGGCAACGTAAAGCCTGTGCCACCCACTTAGTAACACTGTACACATCTCTAAACCTTGCTGGATTTGACCACGTAGGTTGAAAATCAACACACTAAGTACTTGGGTTGAGTTTCATTTAGTAGGTAGAATAGCTTTTGTCTTAGCCTGGGATGCCCAGAAAACATGGCCTGAGTCAGAAGCTTAACATCCTAGCACTTTACTGGGGAGTACAAACCTAGGGAAGCAGAAGTGAGGGGGAAACGGAGCAAAGCAGGGGAGGTGAAAGGTTGTTGAACAAACATAAGGAGGTGAACTTTACCAAGCTGCAGCTTCACAAGAATTACCCCAAAGATGGCTCAGTCTCACAGCACATCATCAGAGAGGACATAGGAACTAATGCATGTCAGAACAGTGCCTCAAGGGGAGGAAGAGAGAACGACTTATCCACTGGCTCCCTTTTTAAAAAATTAGGTAAAAATCACATTAGTTAAAATAAATTCACTCCCTGGAGAGGAGGTCATTAACTCTTCTGCATGTTCAGGCAGCTGCTGGGATGCCAGTTCCCCACATGTTCAGTGAGGCCGGTCTCTGTCAGACAGTGCCTCTCAGGCCACATCTGTAGCATAGCAGGTAAATCAGCTGTTACGGTCCAGTAAACTTTGACTCTTTCCATCTAATTCATGTTAGTCACACTCATTCTTATTTCTATAGCTCCCATACTATCCACCTCATTTTAAAGTGCTCTCGTTGACTCTAGACATTCCTCCTGGCAACCCAAACTCAGTGCATGGAACTTGCATTGTAGTTAGGGAGACCAACAAAAGCCAAGTAGGTAAATAAAAATGATTTTAGGGAGTCACACTGCTATGTAGGAAACAAAACAAGCTGATGGACAGTAGTTGCAGGTGTCTTGAGAATCTATACAGCCTGGCACTTGGATGATTTCACCACTTCTTTTCGCTCTTCTGCATTAGACTGCTGACCTTAACAAATTAATTTCTGAGCACTCTCCAGTATGATCTGCCTGCTCCAGTCACTTACAACTACTTGCAGTTCTCTGACTTTGATTTGCTAATTTCTATTTTTGGGCCTTTGCATGTACCAAAAATGCCCTATGCCTCTTTCTAGCCAATCTTTCTCCTCTTCTTCCTTAAAAATCTGATGCAAAACCTTCTACGGGAAGCCTTTCCTGATATATTTCCCCTGTTATATCTTCAATTGCCTGTATTTATGTCAACTGCACCATATTACACTAATTTGAATTGAATTCTATATTATCTTAAAAATGTCCTCATGTTCTTTTCTATGTTCTTGATACTACATTACTTTCCTGGCCCCATATGCAGAGCATTGGACATGATGTTGGAATGGCTGGCAGAGACCACACAGGAAAGTTCAGTGCGCTGCCGAATGATTCACTAGATGTTACCTGTTGCCTGAGATTTGGAGTGAACTACTTCTTCATACCTTACTCTAGTTAACACACGGTCCCTGGTGAAGTCACTAACTGGTCCGGGAATCTCAGGCACTTCTCCTCTTGTTTCTCACCTATAAGAAAGTTTTACAAATGAACTCCAATGTCTTTTCCATCTTCAGTATAATTTTAAAGTATTAATATAGTAACTGGAATGTTATCTGTTTTTGTTTTTCTGAATTGTTTAAGAAAATACAATATAACTTCCAGAGTTTAAACATGGAAAAAGCAAATACTTTGTTATATAAAACAAAGAAGATATTTGGCTTCCACAATTCAGAGTGCAGCAGAAAGAGTACAGTGCTGGATATCAATGTAAATTCCCTTATCTCTTTCCTAACAATTCAGATTCATCTTCAGGGGTTCAGAAAGCTTATATTTAAACAATCAATTCAGGTAATTATATTATAACAATATAATGTTACTTGATGTAGATATTTAAGGATAAGAAAGAAAGAACAGATTTACTAGATTATAAGGCAAATCAGTAAGAGGAACTAATTCAGGTTTCTATCAACTAGAACAACCTTGGCACTATTGACATTTCAGAACAGATAATTCTTTGTTTTGTGTGGCTGTCCCATACACTATAGAATATTTAGCAGTATCCTTGACTTTTACCCACCAGATGCCTGTCCCACCTTCTAGTTGCAAGAATCAATGTCTCCAGGGATTGTCAAATATCTCCCGGGTGCAAAATTTCCCCTGGTTCTAGTTCCCCAACTAGATCATGATGTAGTTGAAATTCATATAAAATAGTTGAGGCCATGTGTGTAATCCCAGCATTTTGAGAGGTAAAGGTGGGAGGATCGCTTGAGGCCAGGAGTTTGAAATTAACCTGGACAACATAGTGAGAACCCTGTCTCAAAAGAGAATTAGAAAAAGAGTTATACTATGTAAATTATTATAAATATTTCATATATGGATTATATAAGATGTACAGAGTCTAACAATATTCAAATTTATAAAAATAAAATGCTGTATTGTTATAATAAAAGGAAATAAGCCAATTACATAATATGTAGGTTGGTAAAGGGATTTTAGGGTATGCTCATTTAAAAACTTTAGTTTTTGAGTTTAAAAAAAGAGTGAATCCTGATGAGAATTTTTAGTTCTTTCCTCACTTACAGGTCAGGCCGGCAGGTCACTGGCCATCCCTTGGGGTCAGTGCGTGGGTCATAGAGCTCTTCCTGCTGACCTCAGGCTCACTGACTGTTTGTAGGACCAACAATAGGCCAGTCTTGTAGTAATTAGTGCAAATATGCTAAATTGTGCAGATGGACAGAGCCCGTTCCCAAGGCATCTTGTAGGTAGTAGTGGCTTATCCATGACAGGTTGAAGCAGGGCGAACTTAGGTATAAAAATATAAGTAGAAATCTCCTCTGCTTTTCTTTACCTTCAATTTAAAAACAAAAACTTGCAATAATGTTTATTACTTAGGGTTAAGTATGGCCAATTTCCAAGGCAATTTTACTTTCTGTTAATAGTTTGCTCTATTTATAAACATAACTTAAAATTTTTGATTGTTTTCATTTTGCTAATTCAGACATTAAAAATGAACAAAAGAGATGTTCTTTTCTTCAACTTTACACGTATGTTCAACTTTAAGGAGTGATTGTGTTTCTTCTCAGACCTTTATTTACTCATGGATATATCTTGACTCTCAGTTAAGAAAAGCAATATAAATTTCTATGATAGAATATAAATTAGAAAAAGCAATGTAAATTTTGGCCCTGGTGTTTAAACTTTGGTCATAGCTTTATTACACTATTCCTTTCCAAGCATGGTGTCTTTTATGGTTTTTCTATTTACCTATTATAAGAGAAACTGGTTTTGTCACAATTACAAACTTTTGTTATTTTACACTGTGACCTCTTTGAAGGTACATGATTTTAAATACTTATTTTGTGTCATTTGTACTGTGGTAATCAATTTTATTTCCTACCTCACTAGCAATCTTTGTTTGGATTGCCTCTATATTATATGTAGATTGTTCTGTTTGTTTATCATGTTGACAAGCTTGCTTACTTTCACACTTTTGACCCTCTCTGCTAGCTCACGAATATTTCTTCTGTTTCTGTGGATTTCACTCTTCTGCCTCCAAAATGTTAGAAATGGTCTAATGTTGATAATACTTTCCAAATCCACTATTTTAGCCACATAGTTAGAACCCTGTCTTATGAGTTTAGAATACCTCAAATTGGAGCCTTTTCCTTAAATTTTTCTTCATGATTAATGTTCTTCATAGCTCTTTCTTTTTCCTTTTATTCATTCTGTATTGTGAACCATGCTTCGTACTATCAAATTACTCAACTCCTGGCCATTGCAGTTATTTGGAAGAAATCCTGAGGGAGCCAGTGCTGGGGAGGCAAAGACCTAGCAAAGGATGGTGGGACAGGGGTGGTGCTGGAAAGCGTGGGGTGCAGAGGATTCCCTGTCATGTGTATTCTTATACGTGTCTCCAGTAGTGAAGAGAAGTAACAATTGCCCATATACGTTACCTTTTTATTTCTTTAAAATATTGTCACCACACTCACCACTATAAGCATAGTGAACATTAGGTTAGATCGTAACCCAGTTACCCACTTAAGTAATTTATTCAATTATCTGAGACAGTAATTTTAAATTTAATTAAAGCCTTGTACTGGAGCATATTTTTAAAGGTATTCTTGCCATTTTCTTTTTTCCATCTAGAATGCATGTTATATTTTCTATTTTGTTTCCTGTTTCTTATCTTCTTCTCTACTTTGAAGCATTATAAAAAATTTTTAGCATGTTTAATTAGTAAAAAGAGAATTTTACTTGATATATAGTAACATCGGAAGTCTGTTTTTATGGATTGCTCCACTTACTACAGAGTGGCTTTTAGTCATAATAAAATACATACTACGTAAATACATAATAAAATACAATATACTCATGAGAATGTCATTGGCAGGCAAAGCCTTTATTAATCAGGGAAGCAATATTAGAGTGTTATAAGAGACTCTTGTGTTAACATTGGATGCTTAAATGAGAGCAAGGTAACCATGGACAGGTGTTACAAGGAAAGTGTTCAACACATAACCATTTCTTCCTTTTGAGTTTTTGAAGCAGGTAACTGTTTAAAAAATAGTGTTAAAACTTTATAACTTAGGGTATTTTCTTTAAAAGTCTCAAGCTTGTTCCCTGCAAAACCTGTAAATCACTGAGGCACAGTACCATGTACATAGCTCTCTAGATCCATGAATCACGTTTAATTCCAGTAATTGTCCATGATCTCTGTCCCCTTTATGGATAGTCTTGAGGGCAGGGCCACGACTTAGTCTTCTTTTTATCCCTGGAGCCCAGATTTGCTCCTAGAATATTGTAGATACTTCATAGTTTTTTCATAAGTGAATAAACATCTTATTTGCCTTTTATGTTTATTTCCACCTTGCTTTACTACCATTATGCCTGCATATTTAACATGTTCTGAATAAAATAATATACTATATAGAAGAATACAGCTTTTTAATAGTATTTCCTAGAAGGGTTTTAGTTGGGGAGAGTTGGAGGCATTGTTGGGAAAATGTTTAGTCTTTTTTTTTTTTATCTTTAAAACATTGGCATTCACAGGAAGACACACAGATTGGTAAACATTATAACAAAGATATCCCCCTGCAACCCTAAAGCATTTTGATAAACTAAAGTGTAAAATTTTCTTTTTCTTTTTGTTTTTTAATTTAAATTGTCATAACTCTCCATAGGCTGGATGCTGCAAAGCATTTAAAGTAGAATATATGTATAAAAAATTCAAAGAAAATTTTTTACAGGAATATACAGGGAAAAGTGGTCTTATAGGGGCACAATTTACTTTTTTTTCTTTAGTTCAACAGGTGGTTTGTCAACATCCATGTAATTTTATATAGAAGTATTCACAGGCTTTAGTGCTGGCTCCACATCTAGAGCTGTAGATGGTGGCATGCCAGTTATGCCCGTGCCTTTGATCCTGCATGTGCTTTAGCGCCGGGAATGGCACAGTGCCCCATGCTGTGCTCTGCAGCAGCGGCTGTATGGACACGTGCTAGGTGCCAATAGCCTAGAGTCTCGTTTCAGCGACTGCTCCCCTGGGCATAAGCAGGGAGCTGTACTTGCAAAAGATGTATTTTTTATATATAGATGGTGGTCTTGTTACCAATAACCTATCAAAATCCTTGTAAGACAGGATTGGTGATTTATAAATAAATATGAAATAAAACTGTGCCAACCTTTAAATTTTGCTTTAGCAAGAGTATTAACATGCTTTTGAATGTATTACTATCTCTCCTTAAGAGAAGTGATTATCATCTCTCTTCAGGAGAGATGATTACCATGTTTCTTTTTGTACACATTGAACATATTGTCTTCGAGGTTCCCTTGAGGAATTATGAAATAGTACAGGTGAATATATTGGAGAAACCCCACAGGAAGTACCTAAAGTTATTCTGTTGACTAAATTATGGAACAACTTGCCTCTCTACACTGTACTGAAGAGGTCATCTACCAGGGAATTTCCTATGCTGAGTTAATTGAAAATGGTTAAGATCTTACTGGCATATGTTCTTTGGGTTTTAGTTGTCTTAACTCAAATTTTTCAATGAGACAATCTTGAAGATACGAGATTTTAAAGATCACAGTAATTTTTGTTGAGTCAAAATTCATTTTGTGAACTTTTATTTCAATTTATTTGTTAATTGAGAATATCCATAAGACACAGTTCTTCTCTTCCTTCAGTCACTGTGCTCTTCCTGGGAATGCCTTGTAAGTTGTTCAATTTCAGGAGCTACATGGAAGGCAACTGACTGTCAGTTAAAAATTTGAATGTAGGTGTATGACATTGCCCTGGGTCTTGTGCGCTTGTTTGGTGTGATACTTTTCCTTTTGTCAAGCTGAGGTTGAAAATGAAAGAGGTGCTTTAGATATTATAGATAGTTAGAATACACCTGCAAATTCACATAAATCTAGAAAAGTGGCTCTTGAGTTTTGTTGGATCACAGACATCTTTGAGAATGTAATGAAAGGTACAGTACCTATACACAGAGAAAAGTACATTTGCAAAATCTTAACGGATTAAATGACTCTGTGGAGTGCAAATAAGAACCTTCAATCTACAGTTCACTGAAAACAAAAACTGGATGGAATAGAGTGCATTTTTGCTTTGTTTCATGCTATTTTCTTGTATCTTTGTGATTTATAGTTGAAATCCTAAATTATCCTTTTTCCCATACTCTTTCCCCCTTATATCTTCAAACAGGCCTTAGTTTTTATATCTCAACATATGAGTTTGCTTTGTAGTTGATGTAGCAATAGCAACATCGTGTAGACTTGGGGCAATTCCAAAAGGAATCAGCAGTGATGGCAAATTGAGACGGGAAGCCAAATTTAAAATCACTAACAGATGAATACCTTTCATAGCTTGCTGTTTGACCACTAAGAATTAAACATTTTTAACTAGCTAATTTTGCTAGAATATGGCATATAGCTTGTTATGATACTCCTCTGTTTTCACAAAGTACACCAGCAGGCTTTGGGGGAAAAAAATCAAGCCGGCTTTCGGTATTTGAGTTGTTCTCATTTTAGTCCAGGGAAGCCTGCTTCAAAACCTGGGTCTAAAAGGTCTTTAGCTTTTATCTAGAAAAGACAACGTGCTTGAGAAAGTTCCTTTAGTTTTTTGTTTCAGTTGACATTGACACACTGGGTCAGACTTGTCCCAAAGCACCATGTCTAAATGGCTTCCTTTATGTGGTTCTAATTGGGATTCTTTCTCAGGAGGTCAAATTAGAGCTCCTGCAGTTGGAGCTACAGCACCGGCAGTTGACAGCATCAGCTCAGTTCTGCCTCTTGAGACATGTAAGACAGCCACTTAGAGTTTGTTCCTACAGTCCTTTGACAAATGGCCCTACTCTGACTGTGTACCTAATAGACAGTTTTTGTTTTTCTTATGGATCTGTGCCAAAAACAGGGTTTTTCCTTAAGCACCTTACTTCTGCTTTGTTCTCTTTGCTTTGCCTTTTGTTTGCTATGATTCAGTTTGTCCAAAAGCATTGGCTAATTTTCTTGTTTATGAATCATATCTGGCCTACTTACATAATGGTGCCTGGTTTAACCAAATTCATTCTATGTGAGTGAACAAAACGGAACTTTGGACATCTGAATTGCTCTGTTGGTCCGTGGATGAAGATAATGCATGATAGATTAGTCTGTGATAATTTATTTTGAACATCATAGCAATAAAAATTAGTTGATTAGCTATGACAGGATATGATCTAAGATTCATTCATTCATTGATTACTTTCTATGTAGCAAGACCTCTGAAGAGATATGTTTAGTGCGTTACTTTTAACCTATCTCTCTAGCATTTTGTTATACAGGCTTTCTAGGATACCATTTTGGGTAGCTTTGAAACAGGGAGCTTTTATAAAGATTTTAAATTGCCTCATACATCTGAGTTTAGTTACTGGAATTTAAGTACCTTACGGTGTCCTTTAAAAACCCTGTTGTTTTAAAGCCCAAGAAGTAATTTATGACTGTAAAAGTGGGAGTGATAAATTGGAGACCAAAGTATGTATTGCTTTTTCCCAACAGCCTGGGGGATAACAGAGGAGGTCAGACAACTTAAGTCTGTTTCTCTTTCTTGGGTCTGTAGCGTTCTTGTAGAAGAAGGAGAGGAATTGTTTCTGAATAGTAGAAGCAACAGTGCCAAATAACTCTTATCCTCAAGTGCTGTAAAGTTTGGTTAGCTTTATGCTCCCTTGACCAGAGTTGCTTAAAAAGGGAATATTTAATCTTATGAATATACTTAACACTATTAACATCATCCCTGCCTTACATTGAAATACTTTAAGTGATATCAGAGCTTCCTTTGTAGTCAGAAAGATCCAAATATATGGGAGGGGAAAATGGGAAGGAGGGAAGCTAGGGAGGGTGTAATATGATCATTTTCCCCCTTGCTATAATAGCTAAAGATATATTTGCCAAGCCCTTCTCCCTTGTCCACTAAGGAAAGAAGACAATGTATCTTAATTATAGAAAGGATTGCTTCGGATTGAAATCTCAGGAGTTGGGAAGTTAAATTAAAAGAAGAGAAAGACTTTCTTTCATATTATTTGCTTCAGCTGACATGCATGGGATTTTAATTCCTTGGGGAAGATGTTTTTTCGTTTTCCACCAAGGATTTCAATTTCTTATTTGCATAAGCTTATTGATGATGATTGTGAATGTTTTCTGACTCACTCGTGTTAGGCGGTGTCTTCATATTCTTGCTGATGAGGCAGCTGCCTCAGCTATGGAGAGGAACAACTGTCCTGCCAACATCTTCAAGTCTGTATGTGCCCCACAGACCTGACCCAACAGTCACACCATGCAGTCCCTAACTTTTTCAGACCCACCTTCTCAGCGATCCACTCCTCCCTTGAGCTTTGGAAATAACTAAAGTTTGTTTTTGTGCATGTGTGTGTTTGTGTGTGAGAAAGAGAGATTTTAAGACAGCTCCTGAGTGGCAGAGGACTTCAAGAAATGACCTTGGATAACACTGTACATAAACTGTAGAAGACAGATGGTTGTTTTTGTCTGTTCTGTATTCTTAAAGATTCTAATACATAGAAATTCCATCATCTCCCTGGGTAGCCTTTAATTGCTACTCATTATTTAGAATATAAAATATATTTAACCTAGATTTGATTGATTATAAAGATGAAAGTCATAAAATATATTTAACCTAGATTTGAGTTATCATAAAGATGATAATCATAAAGGATGTTTAGCCTAGATTTGATTTACTATAAAAGCAATAGTCAAAAGTCCCTGAATTATTTCTAGTTTGCAAATAGATTATTTTTTAATTTTGTTGCTACTACTTTAAACTTTTGTTTGCTCAAGTATATTGGTTTCTAATTGCTCAGGGACAAGGGTCATGTGTTGGTAGTACAGTCAGGCAGACCCCCCTCAAACCCTGTGTGCTGCTCAGCAAGCTGCTTAGTCCTGGAGCTTCAGCTTCCTCATCTGAAAAGGGGCGTAACACTGACCTTATGGGATTGTAGTATACAGCAATTGAACTAAAGTATATGTGGTGTTTGGTACACAATAAGACACTTAATAAAAAATCTTATTTTTTGGTAAGTTCCCTAGAACTCATAACCATGTTGAGCATATAAAAGTCAGTGTTAGTTGAGTAATCACTGGTTGATAAAAATAAATATGTATAAATTCTACAGAACCAGTACCAACTCCCTTTTCTAGTATATTCAAATATTATGTATCTTCACAAAAATCGATCAAGGCGTTTGTTGTTGTTGGTGACACTAAGTTTCATTGAGAAGATGAGTGGTAAAATATGTGGCTCTTCTTTGGAGGCGTCAGCATTATCATGAAAAGGAATAGAGCCCTCTTGTGAAATATTTCCCTTTGGTTTAGCACCTAGCTGTGCAAGTGCTGTTACTCTTCTTTTTCCTTTCTTTTTTGGTTATTAAAAAAGCACATACAGAGTACTTTTTTTTTTTTTTTTTTGAGATGGAGCTTCACTCTTGTTGCCCAGGCTGGAGTGCAATGGTGCGGTCTTGGCTCACCACAACCTCTGCCTCCCGGGTTTGATTCTCCTGCCTCAGCCTCCCGAGTAGCTGGGATTACAGGCATGAGCTACCACGCCCAGCTAATTTTGTATTTTTAGTAGAGTTGAGGTTTCTCCATGTTGGTCAGGCTGGTCTCGAACTCCCGACCTCAGGAGATCCACCCACCTCGGCCTCCCAAAGTGCTGGGATTACAGGCATGAGCCACTGCGCCCGGCCCAGAGTACTTTTGTAGCACTTAAAAGTAATTTAAATCTTTAAAATTGTGGTATAATATATTAATACATGATATATAACATATATCTCTTTAACCACTTAAATGTATAGTTTTGCGGTACATTCAGGTTGTCATGCAACCATCACCATCATCCATCTCCAGAATTTTTGCGTCTTCCCCAGCTGAATCTCTGTACCCATTAAACGCCATTTTCCACCCCTCAGTACTCCCCCGATTCCTTTCCCTGCCCCTGGCAACCACCATTCTACTTTCTGTCTGTATGAATTTTACTACTGTAGGTACCTCATATAAATTGAATCATACAATATTTGTCTTTTTGTGATTGGCTTATTTTACTTAGCCGTATGTCTTTAAGTTTCATCTGTGTTGTAGTATGTGTCAGAAATTCCTTCCTTTTTAAGGCCAAATTACATTCCATTGTACGTATATACCACATTTGGTTTTTCTGTTGATTCACCCATGGGTGTTTAGGTTGCTTTCAGCTTTTGGCTTTTGTGAATAATGCTATCTGTTTTGTTTTTTAAATGCCATAATTAGGTACCATTTAAAGTAAACTTTTGCTTCACTATATGACAATTAAATGTATAATACCACTAATGTGGAAATACTGGTATTTTTAATATTATCAGGGGAGAATAATTTTTAGGGAAAAATGTGCAGAATAGCTCTATATACTTTACAGTGTAGGGTACCTTCTTTCTCTTAGGTGCTATTTCCGAATTTTGCTTAGGCAGCTATAATTAAATATATGCTAATGAGTTTGTGTAATGTAAACCCATCAGAATTCAAGTATAATTTTTGAACTCCACTTACTGTATTCTGCTAAGTTAAATTTTGTCCCATTGATATTTTATCACAATAAATATTAAGGATTATTTATCTTCTTTGGGGTTCATTATTGAGATTGTTTTTTCCATAATACATACACTTGAAAGTAAGAGTCTGTCTTCCCCTTTTAGTGTAAGGTAAATGCCACTTTTTTTTTTTTTATTAAAAAGTCATGCTTTCTGTTGAAAATTAACTGTTCATATAATCTGAAGAATTGAAGTTGTACTTCTAAACACATACATTTCATCTAGGAACATCATTAGGAAATATTGGACTAGATCTTGACCTCCAGTCAGGCATCCAATTAAGTAGAAGTTTAGCAATCAGCTTAAAACTCTAAGCACAGACGATTCATTGTAATGTATACCTTTTTATGAAAGCTAAGTTAGCTTTATTCACTGGTTAGTAACAATTTCTTTATTCTTGGCCTATATTGCCTGATGCAATCAGATCAGATAAAGGTTGGTCATATATTCAGAGAATCTTTAGAAACATGGAAGCCTTTATTTTTAGAGTCAGCATGGAAGACTGTTTTTATAGCCAGCTTTGGAAGAATTGAAAAGTCAGAAAGTGGTGATTTGTATGTACCGACAGTGTGAAATTTTACTTTCAATATTTCTAGGATTCCTAGGGACAGCTTGGAGGGATTCCCATAACCAGTTGATACAAAGTAAAGAATTTTTAATGCTGCTACTGGACTTTAAATTTTGTTTTTCAGGAAAATCAAGAATTTTTTTTAAAAATAAGGTTACTGGCATTATATATGCCTTACATAGATCATTTTTCTCCCATGGAATTTTAATAAAACACTAATGCTGAAAATTGAATAGTCATAAGGTTCTGTGCTTATTTTGTGATTAATGCCATTACATCACTATGGGAGAGTTAAGAGAATGCTAAGTCTAGTGTGTCTTAGAAGAGATACCAAATGGTCAGCAGTCTGAGGAGGTTCTCCAGTTAGGAAGACATCATACATTGGAACATTTGCTAATCTATAGGTAACTTGCAGCAGGATAGAAACAGTCTCTTTTAGCATCCATACATTTTTTTGAGGGGAAATTCATATAAGATAAAATTAATCATTTTAAAGCATGCAATTTAGGTGCATTTTATATATTCACAATGTATATACTGTTTTTTACTAAGTGATAAATACCATTAATATCTGTGGCATTTTTAGAATTTACTTTTACGCAGTTGAAGACCTTTTAAAAACATCTCAAATTTCTCTTTTTTGCAGGTTATAACTAATTAATTTTCAACTAACCAAAATAAAAGTCCGGTAAACAGAAATGTAAACAGATACAGTAGTAATTATTTACTCCTGCATTTGCAGAGCTTAATTAGTTTGGAAATACTAAGTTAAGAAATGAATTGAGAACATAATCTATTTTTTAAAAGTTTAAATGAAGGAATATAATCTCAAGAGTAAACAGGTTCTTTAAAATGAAATTCAGTGATAATTTGGTGTACACATCATCTTGACATCTAAAATTATTGTCCTGATGGCAAAATTGTAAAAAATATAAATGTGTATATAATATTTTCCAGCATTGAAATTTGTCATTAGACATAAACGTCCCAGTGTCAAGTTTAATTCTCATAGAAAAAGTTGTTTTTCCCACTTTAATTCTACATACAGTTTTCCTATCTTATATTCTGCTGATTATATTAATGATAATTATTTTTGAAACACACTGTTAAAATAAATTAGATAGCTGCAAGAAACTTTTCACCACATCTCGGCACCACATTTTGCCTTTTTACCTCCAGACTAAAATAAAAGTTCTTGCTATGCAACATCCCTGGGGTTTATCCAATGTATAAATTCCCATTTTCTTGACAGTTTAGAAATTATGACCCCAGTTTTCACTCATCTCAGAAGTACCCTTAGGAGGCATTACCTGATTAACTAGACAGGAGAGAACTGCCAACGACCTTAGAAACTTAAGAAACCTAATAGATTCTCCTTTTAAGAATCACACTGGGGCTAGACAGCTTTTAGAGAAATCATAGAAAAAGAGATCAGACTGTGATCATTCATAGTATTTGATGGCCTATTTGATTTGTTTTCTGTGTCTCAAAATAATAGCAACCAGTTTGTTCACAGTAGGTTAGATAAGTTAGAGACAATACAGACTATCACATGTTCACACACACACACATACAGACATACAAACACACATACACACTGCATACATACTCACACATACACACATACATACACATACACACAGATACATACACACACACACACCCACACATACACACATACATACACATACATACACACAGGTACACACACACACACACATACATACACATAAAATTATTTCCAAAAAACTACCAATCCAGAAAATTTAATTAGGTGTGAACCTAGAAATGGCCTCTGGATCATTTATATATGTCTACATTATCATTCATCTAATCCTGTAGAACAACTAGCTATTTATGCTTCACATCATTTTTCATATCTATAATATATATATACATATTTTAAAATACCCATTTAAAACATTCCAATTGTTTAAGAAAGAAGCTGCAAATAAAATACAAGTAGCACTGTGCCAGATATTTCACTGTAACCACAACTCAGCATCCATAGAGATGTCTGATTTGTTGTGTTTTGTAGACTCGTTTACATGTCGCAACCTCGCATCTCAGTGACATAACATATATTATCCTTATGGCTGCAGCCGATGCCATAAATTTTTAGATTGTAAATTCCCATGGGCAGAGGTTATATTTTATTATTTAAAATCACCTCAGTACACAGCACTGTTATGTATTTGAGTAGGCTCAATAAATATTCACTGATGCCAACCAGCCTGGGCAACACAGTAAGACCCCCATCTTAAAAAAAAATTCATTGGTGAACGTCGAAGAATAGTGTAGTTTTTATATATTTCAATATTTAATTGCTAAAATTTAATGTTATTAAATGATTTAATATTTTTCAACTTTTCTTTAATCATGACAAATGATCCAATAGGAAACCGTTTCCGAAATAACTCATGGTCATTGTCCATTGGCAATCGCAAATTCATTGCAAAGTGATTTGACTCCACAAATGTTTATAGAGTACTTACTTGTAATACAAACGCTTTGTTGGAAAATAAGGCTACAAAAATCAACATACAGCTCATAATTTACGGGTGTATGTGAAAGTTGAGATTAGGGATATCTGGAAGAGACATGTATGATAATACAATTGAAGGATGTTGTGATGATAAACTTGTGGAAGAGCAGTTGACTTATCTTGTGTTTTTGAAGAAAGACTTCAAAGGGAAGAAGGGAAGATGTGTGAAAATTTGCAAGATAGAGAGAGGAGAAAGAAGAGAAGGGAAGTGGGTAGGAAGAAGATTCCAAAAACAGTGAGAAGCACTAGCCAAGCTATGGAGAAGGAACATTTGGAGAAAGGTGAGAAGGCTGGGCAGCTACACAGTTAGACCTGGCTGGAGGAGGGGCAGCAGGGGAAACTGGCCGGAGGTTAAAGCCAGAGTGGGAAAGGCCATGGAAACATCTGAAGGGTGGCGATAAGGAGCCACCAGAGCATGAAAAGCAAGAGAGTGACAGGGTCAAAATTGTAAATGAGAAATAGAATTATTGCAACAGTATGGAGGATGGATTGGAATTGAGCAAGACTAGTGGCAGTGAGATAGGTGATCAGCTCCTGGAATAGAGCAGGGCAGTGTGAAGGGAGACCAGGAAACAGACTCAGGAGACTAAACGTGGTGACGGATGAGCAGGCATCCACGGGAGCGTTTCCAGTTTCTAATTTGGGTACCTGGTGGGATGGTAGAATGAATATTTGTTTTGGACAAATTGACTTGAGGTTCCTTTGTAAAGGTAAGAACAGGCAATATATTCTTTGTGCATGTTAGGTAACCCTTGGAATTCATTGCAAACTATGTGTAAGTAAAATTGACATCTGTTCCTATTTTTAAAATATTGTTATTAAATCTCATTTTATGTCAATTTTTTTATATCTGGAAAGTTGTGTGGCAAGTGTTTAAGAGTTAGTCACTAAGATTTGCCAAAGTTCTAGATGCTATGACTATAAATTTCTGTTGATCTAATTATTTGAACTGAAACATTCTCACTGAACAAAAAGAGACAATAGTAATGAAATTCAAGTTCTTTATACTTATTGGTACTTTCTCTGTGTAGTATTTATTTTCACTTTAGTTTTCACTCCCTGGGCCCTTTTAAAACTGTGTAGAAAGTGAGGGAACCCTACCCTAACAACCAGTCTAAAAGGGACTATTCTCTCCTGAACTCTTAGCTCAGCGATCCTGACCTTCTGCTATCTCCTATGGTAAAAACAATTTATTCTCTCAACCTGGCTGACCTTATAAGCACTCCATTCATACAGGCAATACATTCTCATTTTTAAATATGTAAATAGAAATACTCCAGTACTTTTTTTTTTTTTTTTTTGAGACAGAGTCTTTCTGTGTCATCCAGGCTGGAGTGCAGTGGCACAATCTTGGCTCACTGCAAACTCCATCTCCTGGGTTCAAGCGATTCTTGTGCCTCAGCCTCCTGAGTAGCCGGGACTACAGGTGTGTGCCACCACATCCAGCTAATTTTTGTATTTTGACTAGAGACAGGGTTTCACCACATTGGCCAGGCTGGTCTCGAACTCCTGACCTCAAGTGATCTGCCCTCCCTGGCCTCCCAAAGTGCTGGGATTACAGACGTGAACCACCATGCCCAGCTCTAATACATTTTCAATGGATTATCAGTATAGACCCAGAATAAAATGAATTTTTAAAAAACCTGATTACAAATACTTTTTGAAAGTAAATATTTGAAAAGCAGTTTCTCCTTAACTAATTCTTCTGTCCTAGGGTTCAGAGGAGTGAGCGATTCCCTTAGGGTTGTGCACAGGCTCATGGTGAGCAAAGTGAAGCCTCCTTTTTTAGTGCTGGTGGGTGGTTGATGGGGAAGCCCAGAGACTCTTTCCTGTTTCCTTGGGTTAGAAGGGAGGAACAGATTTCACTGATTTAGTGTTAATCTGTAAATGTGTTTGCAATTTAGAAGCCTGCATTTAAATTGTGTTAATCATTGGGAATTTTAAATTGAATAACAAGCTGAGAAGCAAACTCAGGTTACAATTAGGGAAATACAGGTGAGAAATGCAAATGTTGCCAACGGTCTTTAACTGCTGGCGATTTTACCCCTTCTCTTGCCAAAGCCTCCTCTCATAGAGAATACTTTGATCCTCCCTAGGTCCACACAGTTTTGTTTTTTTTGGGTTTTACACGGTTTTGATGGTCCTCGTTCCACTTTGTGTCAGGTAGCTATGAAATGTTTATTTCCACTGTGTGTACACACACATACACAGATTTGGTCCGAAGATGTTTGCAGAATCCAGGAACACACTGATGCAACATTCTTAAGCCCAGTAGTTATCCAAGTGTAAAATTTGGAGGTCATTAATTGAAATAAATAATGGGAAATGAGGAAAGGAAACTTCATATTCTGCAAGAGTGGAAACACACTTCTCTTTAAGGGAAATTGCTGCTGGGGGACATGGAATGCATCACCACTGCCTCTTGACAGGTTCACCTTGGAGAGACACAAATTAAATCCTTTCAGTTGCTGTTTTGAAGCTAAAAGTGTTTGACCATTTCAGCCCCTGAATGGTGTTTAAAGAATAAAGAGAAAAGAGCAGGAAGTTCTAATTGGCAAATTACTCCTTATTATTTAGTTTGGCTTCCAAGTTGGAAATTCCAATAATGAAGAGCTTTGTGGGACTTGCCCTTAAGCAGAACCAGGGGGCTTTTTGTTCAATTACTATTTAATGTGAAGATATTCAAGAAACATATTGTAACATTTAAGCCATCACTTTCTATTAAACATTGTCATATAATGATTTTTAAATCTTTCTCCAGGATGCTTTTATGATTCTGAACCATCTAAGTGAAGTGGAAATTGCAAATAAGATGTAAATAGACTTTTCTTATTAAATAGTAATTATGAGGGGTGTTAGTACTTAATGAGAGCGTCTCAAAATGTTAGAAAATACATTTTTACTTAACAGTTACTTCTTAATCATGGTTATTCTAATTCTGATTTTAAAAAAATCCTCAAAACCGTTTAAAAAGTCATTCCAAACTGAATTTACAGCAAGATGAATATTTCTTTTGATACTAGTATTTCAAAATGTTAATGAAGAATTTATTTGATTGTTTATATTAAGTTACAGAAATTAAGTTCACATTAATTTTGATTTACACATTTAAATTAGAAAGAAATAGGCTTCAATTTGCACAATTACCTTACACATTAATTAATATTACTGTAGCATGGAGATAATATAAAATATTTGGATATTTGGAGATATATCCAAGTGGTAAAGATGAGTATTTTATACTTTCTCTCTTTTTTTTATTTATTTTATTTTTTTGAGATGGAATTTAGCTCTTGTTGCCCAGGCTAGAGTGCAATGGTGCGATCTTGGCTCACTGCAACCTCCATCTCCCGGGTTCAAGTGATTCTCCTGCTTCAGCCTCCTGAGTAGCTGGGATTAGAGGCACCCACCACCATGCCTGGCTAATTTTTTGTATTTTTAGTAGAGATGGGGTTTCACCATGTTTTCCAGGCTGGTTTCAAAACTCCTGACCTCAGGTGATTCACCCACCTCAGCCTCCCAAAGTGTTGGGATTGCAGGCGTGAGCCATTGCTCCAAGGCTGTGCTTTCTCTCTTAATGGTAACACTGAACTTTAGTATTTGACCTTGTCAAAAATTATAAAAGGAATGAAATAAAGAATTAGTTTTGCTCAATGAAAGGCAATTTTAAGGATGAATAATTACAGTATGTGTAAGTTTTCATTGAACTTCACAGAATGTGGCTATATCATTTAGGTAAAAGCTGAGGTTTGGCCGGGCACGGTGGCTCATGCCTGTAATCCTAGCACTTTGGGAGACCGAGGCGGGCAGATCACGAGGTCAGGAGATCAAGACCATCCTGGCTAACACAGTGAAACCCCGTCTCTACTAAAAATACAATAAATTAGCTGGGCTTGGTGGCGGGCGCCTGTAGTCCCAGCTACTCGGGAGGCTGAGGCAGGAGAATGGCGTGAACCCAGGAGGCAGAGCTTGCAGGAGCCCAGATTGCGCCACTGCACTCCAGCCTGGGCAACAGAGTGAGACTCCGTCTCAAAAAAAAAAAAAAAAAAAGCTGAGGTTTTAGTTGAAAAATTTTGCTTACTTTCATTTCATACATAGAGTCACTGGATTTTATAGGAGTTAGACATCTTTCCTTTCTTGATTATTGGAACTTTCCATAGTCACTTAACAGTTTGTTTCTTGGCTAAAGGATTTTATGACATCAATATTACCTGAAACAATTGTGCAGTTGAAATGACTGAATTAATTACTAGTTTCCTTTTTACAAATAAATGTCTCACATAGGAACAATTTGTATAATGCTTTTGGAAATGCTAACGGCTCCTGAGGTACTAATCTTGCCTTGTTTCTGAATACTTACACAATTGTGTCTCCCTGAGTGGGCCATGGACTTAGACATTACTGTGAAGTGCTACGCAGAGGTGTTAAGTTGGTAAATGGAATACTTTTCTGATGAGATGTGAGTCTGAAGTTTTTCCCCAAGTATATTTGGCTTCACTGAACAAAAAGAATGAAATTTCTTGGGCAGGGTATCTCTGAAAGAAAGGCAGCAGCCCTAGTCAGGGGCTTATAGATGAAACTCCCATCTTCCTTGCACAGAACACCTGGGGGAAGGGGCGGCTGTGGGCGCAACTTCAGCAGACTTAAGCGTTCTTCCCTGCTGACTGTGAAGAGAGCAGCAGATCTCCCAGCACAGTGCTTGAGCTCTGCTAAGGGACAGACTGCCTCCTCAAGTGGGTCCTTGACACCCATGCCTCCTAACTGGGAGACATCTCCTAGCAGGGGTCAACAGACAAATCATACAGGAGAGCTCCAGCTGGCATCTAGCAGGTGCCCCTCTGGGACGAAGCTTCCAGAAGAAGGAACAGGCAGCAATCTTTGCTGTTCTGCAGCCTCCGCTGGTGATACTAGGGCAAACAGGGTTGGGAATGGACCTCTAGCAAACTCCAGCAGACCTGCAGCAGAGGGGCCTGACTGTTAGAAGGAAAACTAAGGAACAGAAAAGAATACCATCAACATCAACAAAAAGGACATCCCCTCAAAAACTCTATTTAAAGGTCACCAACATGAAAGATCAAAGGTAGATAAATCCACGAAGATGAGGAAAAATCAGCTCAAAAAGGCTGAAAATTCCAGAAACCAGAATGCCTCTTCTTTAAAGGATCACAACTCCTTGCCAGCAAGGGAACAAAACTGGACAGAGAATGAGTTTGACGAATTGACCAGAAGTAGGTTTCAGAAGGTGGGCAATAGTAAACTCCTCCGAGCTAAAGGAGCATGCTGTAACCCAATGCAAGGAAGCTAAGAACCTTGAAAAAGGGTTAGAGGAATTGCTAACTGGAATAACCAGTTTAAATGACCTGATAGAGCTGAAAAACACAGCACAAGAACTTTGTGAAGCATACACAAGTATCAATAGCTGAATTGATCAAGTGGAAGAAAGGATATCAGAGATTGAAGATTAGCTTAGTGAAATAAAGTGTGAAGACAAGATTAGAGAAAAAAGAATGGAAAGGAACGAAGAAAGCCTCCAAAAATATGGGACTATGTGAAAAGACCAAACCTATGTTTGATTGGTGTACCTGAAAGTGACGGGGAGAATGGAATCAAGTTGGAAGACACTCTTTAGGATATTATCCAGGAGAACTTCCCCAACCTAGCAAGACATGCCAACATTCAAATTCAGGAAATACAGAGAACACCACAAAGATACTCCTCGAGAAGATCAACCCCAAGACACATAATTATCAGATTCAACAAGGTTAAAATGAAGGAAAAAACGTTAAGGGCAGCCAGAAAGAAAGGTCAGGTTACCCACAAAGGGAAGCCCATCAGACTAACAGCAGATCACTCTGCAGAAACCCTGCGAGCCAGAAGAGAGTGGAGGCCAATATTCAACATTCTTAAACAAAAGAATTTTCAACCCAGAATTTCATATCCAGCCAAACTAAGCTTCATAAGCAAAGAGAAATAAATCCTTGATAGACAAGCAAATGCTGAGATTTTGACACTACCAGGCTTGCCTTACAAGAGTTCCTGAAGGAGGCCCTAAATATGGAAAGGGAAAACCAGTACCAGCCACTGCAAAAACATGCCAAATTGTAAAGACCATTGACACTATGAAGAAACTGCATCAACTAATGGGCAAAATAATCAGCTAGCATCATAATGACAGTAAGAAATTCACATATAACAATATTAACTTTAAATGTAAATGGGCTATATGCCCCAATGAAAAGACACAGACTGGCAAATTGGATAAAGAGTCAAGACCCATCAGTGTGCTGTATTCAGGAGACCCATCTCATTTGCAAAGACACACATAGGCTCAAAATAAAGGGATGGAGGAAGATTTACCAAGAAAATGGAAAGCAAAAAAAAAGCAGGGATTGCAATCCTAGTGTCTGATAAAACAGACTTTAAGCCAACAAAGATCAAAAAAAGACAAAGAAGGCCATTACATAATGGTAAAGGGATCAATGCAACACAAAGCTAACCTAAATATATATGCACCCAATACGGGAGCACCGAGAGTCATAAAGTAAGTTCTTAGAGACTACAAAGAGACTTAGACTCCCACACAATAATAGTGGGAGACTTTAACACCCCACTGTCAATATTAGATTAACGAGACAGAAAATTAACAAGGATATTCAGGACTTGAACTCAGCTCTGGACCAAGCAGACCTAATAGACATCTACAGAACTCTCCACCCCAAATCAACAGAATATACATTCTTCTCAGCACTACATCGCACTTATTCTAAAACTGACCACATAATTGGAAGTAAAACACTCCTCAGCAAATGCAAAAAATGGATATCATAGCAGTCTCTCAGACTGCAATCAAATTAGAACTCAGGATTAAGAAACTCACTCAAAACTGCACAACTACATGGAAACTGAACAACCTGCTCCTGAATGACTACTGGGTAAATAACGAAATTAAGGCAGAAATAAATAAATTCTTTGAAACCAATGAGAACAAAGAAACAATGTACCAGAATCTCTGGGACACAGCTAAAGCAGTGTTTAGAGGGAAACTGATAGCACTAAATGCCCACAGGAGAAAGTGGGAAAGATCTAAAATCGACACCCTGACATCACAATGAAAGGAACTAGAGAAGCAAGAGCAAATAAATTCAAAAGCTAGCAGAAGACAAGAAATAACTAAGATCAGAGCAGAACTGAAGTAGATAGAGACATGGAAAACTCTTCAAAAAATCAGTTAATCCAGGAACTGGTGTTTTGAAAAGATTAACAGATAGACCACTAGCCAGACTAATAAAGAAGAAAAGATAGAAGAATCAAATAGAAACAATAAAAAATGATAATTAGGTATCATCACAGATTCCAAGAAATACAAACAACCGTCAGAGAATACTATAAACACCTCTATGCAAATAAACTAGAAAATCTAGAAGAAATGGATAAATTCCTGGACACATACACCCTTCCAAGACTAAACCAGGAAGAAGTCGAATCCCTGAATAGACCAATAGAAGTTCTGAAATTGAAGCAGTAATTAATAGCCTACCAACCAAAAGAAGTCCAGGACCAGATAGATTCACAGCCAAATTCTACCAGAGGTACAAAGAGGAGCTGGTACCATTCCTTCTGAAGCTATTCTAAACAACAGAAAAAGAAGGAATCTCCCCTAACTAATTCTATGATGCCAGCATCATCCTGATACCAAAACCTGGCAGAGACACACACAAAAAAAGGAAATTTCTGGCCAGTATCCCTGATGAACATCGATGTGAAAATCTTCAATAAAATACTGGCAAACTGAACCCAGCAGCACATCAAAAAGCTTATCCACCACGATCAAGTCGGCTTCATTTCTGGGATGCAAGTCTGTTTCAGCATATGCAAATCAATAAACATAATTCATCACATAAACAGAACCAATGACCAAAACCACATAATTTTCTCAATAGATGCAGAAAACGCCTTCAATAAAATTCAACACCCTGCATGCTAAAAACTCTCAATAAACTAGGTATTGATGGAACATATCTCAAAATAATTAGAGCTATTTATGAGAAACCCACAGCCAATATCATACTGAATGGGCAAAAGCTGGAAGCATTCCCTTTGAAAACTGGCACAAGATAAGGATGTCCTCTCTCACCACTCCTATTCAACATAGTATTGGAAGTACTGGCCAGGGTACTCAGGCAAGAGAAAGAAATAAAGGGTATTCACATAGGAGGAGAGGAAGTCAAATTGTCTCTGTTTGCAGATGACACGATTGCATATTTAGAAAACCCCGTCATCTCAGCCCCAAATCTCTTTATGCTGATAAGCAACGTCAGCAAAGTCTCAGGATACAAAGTCAGTGTGCAAAAGTCACAAGCATTCCTATACACCAATAATAGGCAAACAGAGAGCCAAATCAAGAGTGAACTCCCATTCACAATTGCTGCAAAGAGAATAAAATACCTAGGAATCCAACTTACAAGGGATGTGAAGTACCTCTTCAAGGAGAACTACAAACCACTGCTCAAGGAAATAAGAGAGGACACAAACAAATGGAAAAACATTCCATGCTCATGGATAGGAAGAATCAATATCATGAAAATGGCCATACTGCCCAAAGTGATTTATAGATTCAATGCTATCCCCATCAAGCTACCATTGACTTTCTTCACAGAATTAGAAAAAAAACTACTTTAAATTTCATATGGAACCAAAAAAGAGCCTGTATAGCCAAGACAATCCTAAGCCAAAAGAACAAAGCTGGAGGCATCACACTACCTGACTTCAAACTATACTACAAGGCTACAGTAACCAAAATAGCATGGTACTGGTACCAAAACAGATACATAGACCAGCGGAACAGAACAAAGGCCTTAGAAATAACACCACACACAATTCCTCAGGGATCTAGAACTAGAAATACCATTTGACCCAGCCATCCCATTACTGGGTATATACCCAAAGGATTATAAATCATGCTGCTATAAAGACACATGCACACATATGTTTATTGCAGCACTATTCACAATAGCAAAGACTTGGAACCAACCCAAATGTCCAACAATGATAGACTGGATTAAGAAAATGTGGCACATATACACCATGGAATACTATGCAACCATAAAAAATGATGAGTTCATGTCTTTGTAGGGACATCGATGAAGCTGGAAACCATCATTCTCGGCAAACTATCACAAGGACAAAAAACCAAACACCATATGTTCTCACTCATAGGTGGGAATTGAACAATGAGAACACATGGACACAGGAAGGGGAACATCACACACCGGGGCCTGTTGTGGGGTCGGGGGGAGGGGGTGGGATAGCATTAGGAGATATACTTAATGTTAAATGACGAGTTAATGGATGCAGCACACCAACATGGCACATGTATACATATGTAACTAACCTACACATTGTGCACATGTACCCTAAAACTTAAAGTATAATAATAATTAAAAAAAACTAATAAAAGGTGGGGGAAGGAAATAACGCCACACATCTACAACCATCTGATCTTTGAGAAACCTGACAAAAACAAGCAACAGGGAAAAGATTCCATATTTAATAAATGGTGTTGAGAAAACTGGCTAGCCATATGCAGAAAACTGAAGCTGGACTTCTTCCTTACACTTCATACAAAAATTAACTCAAGATGGATTAAAGACTTAAATGTAAAAACCATAAAAACCCTTGAAGAAAACCTAGGCAATACCATTCAGGACATAGGCATGGGCAAAGACTTCATGACTAAAACACCAAAAGCAATAGCAACAAGAACCAAAATGGGCAAATGAGATCTAATTAAACTAAAGAGCTTCTGCACAGCAAAAGAAGCTATCATCAGAGTGAACAGGGAACCAACAGAATGGAAGAAAATTTTTGCATTCTATCCATCTGACAAAGGGCTAATATCCAGAATCTACAAGGAACTTAAACAAATTTACAAGGAAAAAACAACCCCTTCAAAAAGTGGGCAAAGGATATGAACAGACACTTCTCAAAAGAAGACAAATGTCTTCTTTTTAATGCGGCCAACAGACATATGAAAAAAAGCTCATCATCACTGGTCATTAGAGAAATGCAAATCAAAACCACAATGAGATACCATCTCACGCCAGTTAGAAAAGGCTGGGTGTGGTGGCTCATGCGTGTAATCCCAGCACTTTGGGAGGCCGAGGTGGGCGGATCACAAGGTCAGGAGATCAAGACCATCCTGGCTAACAGGGTGAAACCCCGTCTCTACTAAAAATACAAAAAATTAGCCAGGCGTGGTGGTGGGTGCCTGTAGTCCCAGCTACTCGGGAGGCTGAGGCAGGAGAATGGCGTGAACCCAGGATGTGGAGCTTGCCTGAGCTGAGATCGTGCCACTGCACCTTCAGCCTGGGCAACAGAGCAAGACTCTGTCTCAAAAAAAACAAAAAACAAAAAACAAAAAACAAAAACAAAAACAAAAAACAACAACAACCAAAAAAGTCAGGAAACAACAGATGCTGGAGAGGATGTGGAGAAATAGGAATGCTTTTACACTGTTGGTGGGAGTGTAAATTAGTTCAACCATTGTGGAAGACAGTGTGGCAATTCCTCAAGGATCTAGAACCAGAAATACCATTTGACTCAGCAACCCCATTACTGGGTATATACCCAAAGGATTATTACTCATTCTACTATAAAGACACATGCACATGTATGTTTATTGCGGCACTATTCACAATAGCAAAGACTTGGAACCAACCCATATGCCCATCAATGATAGACTGGATAAAGAAAATGTGGCACATATACGCCATGGAATACTATGCAGTGATGAAAAAGGATGAGTTCATGTCATTTGCAGGGACATGGATGAAGCTGGGAACCATCATTCTCAGCAAACTAACACAGGAACAAAAAACCAAACACCAAGTGTTCTCATTCATAAGTGGGAGTTGAACAATGAAAACACATGGACACAGGGAGAGGAACATCACACACCAGGGTCTGTCAGGGGGATGGGAGCAAAGGGAGGGATAGCAGTAGGAGAAATACCTAATGTAGATGACGGGTTGATGGGTGCAGCAAACCACCATGGTACGTGTATACCTATGTAGCAAACCTGCATGTTCTGCACATGTATCCCAACACACACACACACACACACACACACACACATATATATATAAAATGAAATTTCTGTTTTCTCCCTACTTCCTTAATTTCTCTAAATTAGAGCATGTATTTGAAAGGGGTGATAATAACCAAACATGCTTCAACTTCATGCCTTCTTCTTTCAGATGCATGTAGGATACTTTACTCATTGGTTAATAAGTTCAGATTCCTTTAACCTGATGAGGAATTATACCAACCACTCCACAGATGTTTTTTGAGATCCTACTAAATTTGGGTTCCTGTACCCAGTCAAAATTGTGATTTGGGAGATGATGGAGAATAAATAGGAGCCATGTCATGGAAATAAATATGTGATTTGTATAGCAGCTTATATTGTTTTCTATAATCTAATGGGATATATGATACTTAGCTTCTGCTTTTATGAGGATAATCTTAGTACAGTTTGGGGTGGATGGGAAGGACACCAGACTCTAGGTGGGGAAATGATTAGGGGGTTGTTGCCAGTGGTCCAGGTTGGAGATGATAGAGGCCTCAACTAAGGCAGTGGTCCAGTGGATCTCAAGTGGAGAGGGGAGCGTCTACAGTGTTTAAAAAGTTAATTAGATTGATTGTTGACTGATTAATTTGAGGAGTGAGGTACAAGTTTTATACAGGATATTGAACTTTAGAACTAGAATTTTGTAGCAGAAAGTGTTGTTTGCTTAAGTTTTTATTTTCATGGATAGTTCCAGATTTTTATTTCAAGCTTAATGTGAGAGTGTTACTCAATGTCTAAAATTGCAAATAGGAACATTTCATCTTTCTTTCTGCTTAAAACTCTTCAGCAAATTCTCATTCTTTTAGGTTAATGCTCGACCCAGTTCTTTAACATGGTGTATTAGCAATCTATTGCTGTTTTAACAAATTACCCCAAAGCTCAGTGACTGGAAACAACTCACATTTATTACCTCACAGTTTCTGTGGGTCAGGTGTCTAGGAATGGGTGTTCTGACTCCGGGTCTGTCACAAAGCTGCAATCAAGGTGTCAACCAGGGCTGCAGTCATCTCAAGGGAAAATCTGCTTCGAAGCTTACTCATGTCGGCTCAAAGAACATGTGGGCCTCTTCAAAGGAGGATGTGGCAGTTGGCTTCCCCCAGAGTGAGAGATCCATGGAAGAGTGAGGGCACCTGAGACAGAAGCCCTAAATCTTGGAAGTGAAATCCTAACAGTTTTGCTGTATACTGTTTGTTAGAGGGGAGGCCGTGATCCACATGCAAGGGCTGACGACTGCACCAGCTGGGGGTCACTGAGGCCTTCTCAGCGGCTGCCCGCCACACATGGCTTACATTATCTACACCCTAACTACCCATCTCTCTAGTTGGTGCCTTGCCAGTTTTCCATTCACACCAGACTCCAGGCAAATCAACCTTTTCAGTTCCTGAAATGTTCCAAGCAATGGGACATTCTTCCTTCTCCTCTTCATTTGACTAACTCACGTGTGTACTACAGACTACAGTTTGAGTATTACTTCCTCAGGATGCATTTCCTGACTAATCCCTCCCAATTTTCCACATTTGGGTAGGAGCTCTTGCTCTTTCTTCAATTATAGCATGTATTGGTCTTTAAGATTATTATTATTATTATTTTGAGACAGAGTTTTGCTCTTTTTGCCCAGCATGGAGTGCAATGTCATGATCTCGGCTCACTGCAACCTCCGCCTCCCAGGCTTAAGCGATTCTCATGCCTTAGCCTCCCCAGTAGCTGGGACTACAGGCACGTGCCACCACACCTGACTAATTTTTTGTATTTTTAGTAGAGACAGGGTTTCACCATGTTGGCCAGGCTGGTCTCGAACTCCTGACCTCAGGTGATCCACCCGCCTTGGCTTCCCAAAGTGCTAGGATTACAGATGTGAGCCACCGTGCCTGGCCTATTATTATTTTAAATCATGTGCCCTTTATGCTAACTGTAAGCTGTATCCCTACCACCAGGGCTTCTGCCTGGCACAATACTAAGCATGTAGTAATATTTGTTGAATGAATGGATAAATGAATACCAAGATGCTTATGCCGTATATGTGAGACTATGTGCTTGTTGATTACATTAACTGTGTCTCAGACTCTAGGCTGCGTATAGTCTGTACAGTGAATGTGACCAACAAGCTTATGTTCTCTATATATGGATCTGTCAGAGAGCTACCACATGTGAGTTCCTCTCAATACATTTTATTGAGTCAGGTCTGAAGTCTGTGGCTTTGGGGGAAAAAAACCCAAATTTCTGTTTTATATAACTTTATTCTATTTTTGCCTCTCATGCTTTATGACTTTATGACTTAATAAGTAGATGTGTGTGGCAGATTAAATTTGGAGTTTAGAGAATAAGATTAAGAAAAAAAAAGCTCCATTTAAGTGAAGCTTCAATTGTTTGGGAGGAACCAGTCCCCATTTTGACTTAAGCTGTCCTCAAGCTGTCCTCACTTGGGTTGAAGGTTGACAGCACATTCAGAAGGATCAAGGGAATTTGGTTTGAGTCTAGTATATTTGCTTCTAATCTAGGTGGAGTTTTAGGTGGTATTAAAATTTTTGCATTGAAAATAGGGACATAGCAGTATGTATTTCCTGGTTTCACAATTAGGGTAAATTTATGTGACTGTGCATTTCTTTTTTATTTAAAAGAATGATAAGGACACATTCTTTTTGGTGAGTAATGACACAAGGCAGCCAGAAAGAATTAATATATTATAATTTATTCAAAGAGTAGTTTCTTTTCACTATAGTCATTCCCTCAATTCCTACTCACTCCTCAGTTTGATCTAACTTGTCTTCTACCTGCCTATCTTCATGGAACATCTGGCAAAGCTCAGTAAGACCAGCTTACTACCAAAAGCCAGAGGGCCCAAGACCTGATCTTATTGGACTTTTCTACCCCAGTTCACACTTGATCACCACCTTTTTTCCAAAACTCTCTCTACTTGGGTGTTTCTGAATAGCATTCTCTTGGTTTTTTTTTTTTTTTTTTTTTTGACAGAAAAGTTTACTTTTTGGTGGTTTCTTCTCTGTTATCTTCTTGAGTTCCTCTTTGCCCACTCCCTCAGGAGGACTCTCCAGGTTCTATTTTGACCCTCTATTTCTTCTTGATCTATAAGCGATTTCCTTACTTGCATTTTATCCATCATCTATATTCTGATGACTTCAAATCTCTAGCTCAGAATTTTTCTCCAAGTCTGACTTGTATTTCTAATTCCTATTGACCTTTCCACGTAGTTGTTTGCAGGCATCTCAGACTTCAAACTTGCTCCTTCTCTGCACCTTCCTCCCCATCTCAGTCGATAGCTTCACCGTCCATCTAGTTCATACAATAATCGTGGGTTCCTGTTTCCCCATCACTCACTCCTTTATGTGATTATCTAATAACCAAGTCCGGGTGATATTCTTCTTAGCTTTTTCTTCCCCAAACACCTGAGGGCTATGTCATGCTTATAGATATCATAATGGGTTACAATGTTAGTGACTCTCATTGGAAATGGGGAATGCGCTTCTTTGCCAAAACCTTTAGAGGGAGTGGAAAGCCCTGGGTAGATTGAAACAGGCTCCCACATGGTTCTAATAGACTCCAGAGATTGAGAATTGCTGTCCTAAGCATTGTGTAAATCAGATGCTCCTTTCCTTGCAGATGCTACTGTATTAGTTCAAGCCCTTATCAATTTTCTCCTTGACTCCTAGAACACCATTCCACCTTCTGTCTAATCTATCTTCTACATAGTTGCCAGAGCAATTATCTACTATAAAAACCTATCATCTCCTACTTACGACTCTTAAAGACTCCTCATTACCTATAAGAAAAAAAAAAAAACCTCCTATAATCTGGCCCCTGTCTTCCTTTCTAACTCTGCCTTTCATCTAATCCACAGCCATGTGGAACTCGTCATTTTTGAACACACCGTTTTTTTTCTCATCTTCATGCTTCCCTCTGTCTGAGGTATTTTCTTTGATTCTTATCTGGCTGTTTTTCATCATTTAATACTAATTTCTTTCAAGAAACATTTCCTGACTCCCATCCCTCTCCCTGTAGTTCTTCCAGGATGTGTTCAATGCGTTTACATAGAATTTTGTGAAAATCTCAATCAGTATACTTGCCATATTTCAGTTTTATTATCTGTTCTTTTCTATCTCTCCTAATAGACTGAGGGTTTTTTGAGGTTATGCCTAACATTTTATTCATCTTTATTTCCAATGTTTAATAGAGTGTTTCTATATGTTCATAAATGTCAAAGAAAAAGGAGACTTAATAGACTTAAGCAATTATCCATTCTTTTACTTTAAAATATTTTTTGAGTGCCTACTTTGTGCCAGTCACCATTCTGCACACAGAGTGTTGCAGTAATAATTTAAGTTCTTAAATTCCTGCTGCTATATATCTTACATTCTACTGCTAATACATATTAACATAATAACTATTGATATTTACAAGAATATTTTGATAAGGAGAGAAGACTTTCCTAACAAACACTGAGCAAATTTGGCCCTTTCTTGGTGAACAACTGAATCTCTGCTTGTTGTTTTCTTAATTTGTACTGTGGATATTTTTTTCCTTCAATGTCTTAATGGGCAGGTACTTATTAGGTAGAGTTTTGGGGAAAATAACCCAACAATGACCCTATAGGTCATAGTGATAAATATTAGACAATATCAGATAATAGTAAAAAATAATATTACAATAAGGTCTAGTGTTTTCATAAAATGTTATTTCTATTACTTGGGTCATAGCAGTAAACCTTACTTTAATATCATAACTACAAAATATATTCTTTCTTCAATACTTAAACTAAAATTGTTAAATATGTTTCCTTATAGATATTTCATTCTAAATGTTATGTCAAGTAAGAAAATAATTATATTCTATCTGAAAACCAGTGTACAATAGACCTAGTAACAGATCCATAACTGCAGTCTAACGTAGTAGATGGTGTTCTAATTAATATTATAAATGAATTCTATATTGAAACTTTTTCTCTAAACAAGAATGAATATAGTTATTTTCAGGAGGAAAAAGTCAGGTCCACAAATCAAATATTTCATTATGAAAAATTTAAATGAATACATAAGTCTAATACTCCTATTTTTGTGCCACATTATATCACTGTGAATTAATCCTCACAGTTCTAATACTGCCATTCAGTATTTGCAAGTAGAAAAATCAAAGCAGAACATATTTCCACAAAGTAATATGGAAATCTAGAAGGTTTACAGAATTGTATTATTAGAAGTGTCTTTGAAAATTATTCTTTCCAATCTTTTATCTCCTGAAAATAAAAAATCTATGTCATTACTTACTACTTTCTTACCTTCAGAAAAGGATAATGCATAACCCAGAAAACACATTCCAATATGTCAAAGCTCATATTATAATTTAATTTGTTTTCTTAATAGCTAATCAAAATTTCTCCTTTTACTTAAATTGATTCTATGATTATTTAATGTATTTTTTTGGATAGAATAGAATCCATTTAAAATGTGGTTTACAGAATCAAATTACGAAATAGCCTTTTGAAATTTTTATTTAAAATTCTCTTATATATTGTCAGGATTAAAGTGAATAAAAGCAAATCTGAGATAAGGCCCTTATTTTATATCTCTCAATAATAGCTGATCTGTTAGTATTGGGTTCAAGGAAAGTAAGTTCTAGAAAGCGTATGGGAAGCAGCCTCTTTGAAAACTTTTCTTAAGAATCTGGGAGTGAAATTATCATAATAAACAAAAGAAAGTAAAAACAAACCATGTAAATTTATGTGTGTGTATGCATGTGTGTGTGTATTATATATATTGTAAAGATCTAGACTGTAGACTATTTAAAGTCTAATGGCTTTTCCTCCATGAGGCTTTGTTGGGTAGGCACCAAGCATTCCCTCTCTCTGTGACACTCTTACTGATGCATTTGTGACTATCTCTGCCCAATTCTTTTTGCTTTTTCAAACCTAATATTTTTCATTTTAAAACCTCATTGGCACTTCTCAATACCATGACTCTCCAAGTCTAGTTAGGATGAAGTTACTGAGGGGCCCTTATCTCTAGCAAAGAATGGTGCTCCTTTCTGTTTGAGTCCCTGGTAGTATGAAGAGAGAGCTGAGGATCACTCTGCCTCCCGACATCCATTAGATGGTATCAGTGGTGAGTGTGCTGACATCGTCCAGCAACAGCGCATGCTTATCCTTCTTGGCACTGCGGGGTTTCTCACAATGCACTGCCACTGTTCAGGGGCACCATCTGGGTTCCTGGTGAATGGGGAGGTGAGGAGGACTTGCGCCTATGATGGCCCAGCCTCAGCATGTGCTGCCCTGCCTTTTTGTGAACGTCACACTCCTGCTCTCCTGAATATAGGTTGCATCTGGATAATGAGATATGAGAGGGAAGATTTTACTGCTCTGGTTGGTTGGTGATATCTTGATCACACAGCTTTCATCTCCCTGTAACCTGATCATGAACTCCCCCTCACCGTATTTTCCTTGTATATTCCCACTGAATAGCTATGAAATATGTGGTGTTAAATAACAAAATACATATCCTACCAAAGATGATCTGATTGAGTAAGGCAGTGAGTACAGCAGTATGTTTAAAACAATATTCAGAATTATCTTGCGTTCCATCATCCGTTACATTTCTGCCACATCAGTATAGAGGGCAATACTGTCCAATGGAAATACAATGCGAACCACATATGTAATTTTAAATTCTCTAATAGTCACACTTTTAAAAGTAAAAAGAAATCCGTAAAATTAAATTTAATAGTACTTTAAAAGTAAATTAAATACATTAAATTTAATAGTACTTTTATTAAGCCAATGTTTCCAAAATATTATCTTTTCAATAAGCAACCAACAAAAACATTACTGATGAGATTTTAAAATTATTTTTACCTTCTCTTTAGAGTTCTTTGTCATATAAGGCTAATCATGATTGTCTAACCATATCTTATTGTGAAATTATTTGAAATTAGCCAAAAGAGTGTTTGAAATATTGTTTCATTTATCGTTATGCTGAACCTTGAGATATTAAGTAATGATGGTATAAAACTATCATGATTAGCAAGATATTTAAAATTATTTTTCATTTCTTCTTTCTATCATTCCTTTAAATTTTCTGTTTTGGTATATGAATTATAAACAAATGGTTTAGTAATATGCAATATAAATAAATATGTATTTTTAATGCAGGTTCGAAAATGAAAGGGTTACATGATCAAAAGAGTTTAATGACCAGTGGCATGTAGGATAAAGTACAAATATTTCAGATTAGTTTTTTAGGTCCCTCTTTCTTGCCAGATATTGACCCATTGAAACTACCCATGCTTTTGCTCATGGTTCCTCTAAATCAAGACCATCAACTAAAAGCCAGATTTTTTTCTCTTTACTTGTTTGCTTGGTCCCAACATACTCATTTGCTGCTCATTTCTATGATTTTGTTCAAGCTTATTTTCTAGTTTGCTTCACTCCTTCCCCTTTTTACTGATAAAAATATTCATCTTTGATGATTCAGAACGATTTCTATCTCCTGGAAATCATCCTTGATCGCTCCATTCTATATTCCTATCTTTCTAGCTGAATTCTTACGTTATTTTTTTTCAGTGCCATTCTTTGGGACATCTATTTATGTGCTACCTTCTATTACTATTTATAATTCTTTAATGTGTATACATTCACAACTAAATTTTGAGTATTTTGAAAGTAGAGGCTGTATATCTTTTGTGTGAACATTTACTGTCTGTTATAATGTAGAGCACTATATAATATTATGCAAATAAACACTAGTGGAAGCAGAAATTTAAACTCTTCTGTTGATTTGACTTTAATCATCCTCATCAGTATGGCCTATTTTAGTCTCCACAGTCTAGAGGGATTTTATTAATTAACATATATATATGTATGTATGTATATTCTGTGGAAAGATGGATTTAATAAATTACTAATTGCTTTGTTAAGCCAAGGAATTTTCATCTGTTATCTCACCTCAAAAATCCACAATTCTTTTATTCTTTTTTTTTTTTTTTTAATTATACTTTAAGTTTTAGGGTACATGTGCACATTGTGCAGGTTAGTCACATATGTATACATGTGCCATGCTGGTGCGCTGCACCCACTAACTCGTCATCTAGCATTAGGTATATCTCCCAATTCTTTTAATCTTAAACAACTTTGCAAGAGAGAGAGACAACTTAGAGACTTTCCTTCAAGGGCTTATTAAACTTGGCCAAATCTATACAATCTATAACTTCTTAGTTTACTATGACAGTCCAGCAGGAATGAAAATATGGTATGGGTGCCACATTGGTTGCCAGAAAGATAACATTTAACATCTGTCGAAGGAATAGGACAAATTTTACAAATCAAAGACTAGCCTGGCCCAGGTTTCAGTTTTATCACACCATATAGTCATCACTTAATTCATATTTTGCCTATGTTATTCATAAATTGTCCACTCTAAACATTTTTGCGGTATCTCTTTCGAGTATTTTTATTACTTTTGAAGAAAATTATATTACTTTATAATATATGTTAGATTTGAGCACAATGATTGGGATTCAAGTGAAAAACTACAGAAAAATTATAGAAATTATTTGACAAGGGCTGGGCGCAGTGGCTCATGCCTGTAATCCCAGCACTTTGGGAGGCTCAGGTGGGCGGATCTCCTGAGGTCAGGAGTTCGAGACCAGCCTGACCAATATGGAGAAACCCCGTCTCTACTAAAAATACAAAATTAGCCGGGCATGATGGTGCAGGCCTGTAATCCCACCTACTCGGGAGGCTGAGGCAGGAGAATCGCTTGAACCTGGAAGGTGGAGGTTACGGTGAGCCAAGATCACACCATTGCACTCCAGCCTGGGCAACAAGAGTGAAACTCTGTCTCAAAAAAAAAAAAATTATTTGACAAAATAAGGTCCAACTAAGTAAAAGCATGAATTATTTCACTGATTCCCAAGCCTGGTTGTACATCAGGATCACCTGAAGAGCTTTCATAAAATGCTCACATCCAGGCTCTCCTTAGACACGTTGAATCAGACTTTCCAGCCTGCGAATCTGTGTTTTAAAATCTCTTCAGTTCAGAAATTCCTGACTTTTTCTGTTCCCAGTTTCACATATTGTTATAACACAACGTGCTTCATACCATAGCTTGAGTTCTACAAGTAATACTGGTCAGTGGTCAGACAAGCCAGAAGGAACCTTAGATACCAGCTTCTCTGATTTGCTTATCTAATGCTCTCTTATCCAAAGGAGACTTTGGTGATTAGATAGCAGAAAATTCCCTGAAGTCACCATTGCAAGGTTTCTTCCAGTATACCATGGGCCCCTGTTTTAGTCTTACATTAGTGTCAAGTGACTGTCCTACTCTGGGATACACAGAAAAGGAAGGTGTTTATTTGCAGGGCACCAAACAAGGACAGTCTGGGCAGCTCATGCTTAAGACCCGAACTCCCTGATGTCTTGCAGGTAAGAGTTTTTAAAGGCAGGAGTAAATTTCAGGAAGGAAGTTATAGACAAAGTCATAAATCAATACATGGAGGCTACATTGGTTTGACCTAAAAAGGAGGAAGAGCTCGAAGCAGGGACCCACAGGTCATAGGTGGATTGAAAGATTTTCTGATTTGTGATAGGTTTGGGAAGCAAAGCTTTGTCTAAAAATTTGAGATTGGCAGAAAAGAATGTTAGCTCTGGCTCATGAGCATCACCTCTTCCAGGCTCCTCTGGAAGAAATTTTGAACAAGGAATGGTGGCCAGAGTTTAGTCCTCAGCTTCCTCTTATCTAAGGTCTATGTGCCAGCAGATCTGTTTGGTGGGGGTTTGGGTTTCTGAAAAACAACTCAGGGACATACGCTGTTAGTTTTAGTTTCTACAAAGGAACCAAACATCTCCTGACTCTAACTTCCTTGGCTATTGTTTTAGGCTACTGTTACCTTCTTGCTTATCAAGCTGCTTATTTACTTCTCAGCCCCAGCTAGGTGCTTGGAATTTCCCTTGAAGGAACTCAAGGTTTTCCTTTATTTCCATGCTCAGGAGACTGCAGGGCCCTAAAAAGAGCGTCCCTGCTCTGCCTCAATAGGAAAGAATAACTCTGTCATTTCTCATTAGTTTTGAAAATTTAGGTTCTATTTAAGTTTATTTTATGCAAGATTTAAAAATCACTTAAGCTGAATGATACATTAACTGTGAGCATTGCTGTGCCTCCTCTTTTTTCTACTCGCAAAGCAGCGTCCTTGTCTGGGGTAACTACCCGAGGTTCGTTGTCTCACGCCAAGGAAATCAGCTAACGTTTACGGCCTACTAAGTACCAACTGATTTTTAGCCCACTTAGCCCCTCGAGTTTGGTTTTTCTTCTTTTTTTTCTCCTTTACTAACGTGGAATCTAAAGCTCAGAAAGTAACTTGTTTGGCCAGGCGCGGTGGCTCACACTTGTAATCCTAGCACTTTGGGAAGCTAAGGTGGGAAGATTGCTTGATCCCAGGAGTTTGAGACCAGCCTGGGCAACATAGAGAGACCCTGTATCTATTTAAAAATAAAAATAAATAAATAAAAGAAAGTAACTTGTCTGAGGACACCCAACTAATAACCACTAGAGCTGTGTTTATGTGCTTCACATATATGAATCAAAAATCAATGATTTTTCTACTTTGGCATACTGTTGCATACTGTTGCAACTAGAATTTACTTATACATTGATAATTAATCTCTTCCTTGAGTATTGGAAAGAATAATGGACCAAATTATGACCAAGCAGTGCTGAAGTTCTATTACGCCTTATAGATGTTTAATTAAAGTAGCACACACTAAGGAATGAAGGCATGGTCCTCATACTCAAATGTATCAAAACACTTTGGAATATTTTATTGCCAAGAAATAATATACTGTGCCAGTGTAATATTCTATCAGATTATGAATAATTCTTTAAGCTTTTTAAAACTAACATCCTTGAGCCATGTGATTATGAGTAATTCTTATTCACTCTTCTGAAGCTTTTATCTCTTTCTCCATTTCTGTTATTGTTCCCATCTGTTATTTCACTGAATGAAAAACATAAGTTAGGAAAATAAGAATGTAAAAGGGAAGTGAAGAAGTAAAGAGAGACGTTTCTTTTTTTTTTTAATTTTATTATTATACTTTAAGTTTTAGGGTACATGTGCACAATGTGCCGGTTAGTTACATATGTATACATGTGCCATGCTGGTGTGCTGCACCCATTAACTCGTAGGTCTTCAAAATGAAAAGCTATCAGGTTATCTAATATAAAACATAAAGTTGGGGAAAACATAAGTTGGGAAAATAAGAATGTAAAAGGGAAGTGAAGAAGTGAAGAGAGAAGTTTCTCGAGAGGTGGTATCTCAAAGCTTTTCAAAATGAAAATTATCAGGTTATCTAATATTTGGAATAAATACAATAGACATTGTGTAAGCTTGTAGTATCTGTTATAATCTGGCTTCTTTTGTCCTTAAAATAAGAAGAGCTGTTATAACTTTAGAACATTATTTAAATGTGCAATGTTTTAAATTTATATTATATCCTAATATCACTGTGTTTTGTTTTTACTGTCAGTATGTGACATGGTGATATGGTAATGAAATTTTCCCAAGTTCTTGATCTCAAGTCAAAGCAGACCAGGTTTGGAAGCTTTGTTCTACCTTCTTGTTTTCAGAGTTGGATTTAGATTTTATTCACATTGTTTGCAAATACATTCTTATTCCTTGAAAGTCTCGATTTAAAAGAAGTTATATACAAAATAAAGTAAGTTAATAATCTCTGATGACTACGTTTGTCTTTTTAGAAAAAAATGTCAACATTTATCAAGAAAGTATGTTTTTCATTTGCATGCTTTACTTTTCTTTTTTACCGTGAGGATTAGAAAAACATTGGGGATTTAAAAAAAACCTCTTTCCATTTCAAGTAGCAAAATAATAAAATTTTCTTACATACATGTTTTCTTCCTACAAAAAATATTACGGCACAGCAAAGCACATAGGAAATAATTACAGAACTTGGTGAAGGAGTAAAAAGCTTTGTGGCTTAGTAATATGAATTGGAGTTATTATGTATATCTCTTCCCACCTTTTAGTTTCCTTCAGAACAACAAAGGTAACGGTTAGTAGATAGTATTTTTTAAGGTCCCCAAATATTGCTTATTTAATAATCATTCAAGAAAAATGGCAATGTTTGTGTTTACTTGATGTTGAAATCATGTCACTCTTTCTTTCTGTGTTTGTATCTGATCAGCTCCCTCGGGCTTCCAGTGTGGGGCAACTGTTACCTCTTTCCTACAGGAGTTGTGCCAGTATCCAGTTTGTTCTTCAGTGGCAATAGGCCATAGATTCCATGTGTTGAAAATTGATCACCATTACAACAATAATAATGATGTTAAAATAACTGTTCCATCAACTGCTAGTTCTTCTCAGCCAGTGACCACGGGCACAGAAACCTTAGGAATAATTTTGTAGAGAAATGAAGCGAAGAAATGTTGACAGTTTGTATTCTAGAAATACTTGGTTTAAGAAGATGTATTAAAGTTGCCTGTTTTAGTCTCACTTTTTGAAGATTCATTCAGAGCTGGTTCAGTGTGAGCATGAAAATATACTCATTGAAAGAAATCGGGTGTTCAGCACCCTGCCAGCTGTATTTAGCACACAGTTCCTGTAATTTAGAAGTGTTACTTCCTGAGAAGGCTATTTGCCCTGTCACTAGGGATAAATTTGCATATTGAAGGAACTACCTAGATTGCAGCAACTGCCTTCCAAAAAGTCCTTGTCATCATTTGTGAGGTAATACCATCAGGATTAGTTCCTTAAGGGATAGCCATCTACTACCTGCCTTCTCTCCACATACACATTGTAGTAATAGATAGAGTTTAACTTTATACATCCCTTTGATAACTCAGTTTCCTGTCTGTAGACATAGATTCTATCAGAAAATAGAGTCTTTTTAGGTGGAATAAAATCTTAAGACACTTCTGCTTACCTTTGTTGTTGTTATTCTAGGCGAAAAGTGTGGGGGGGTTTTGCTTTGTTTTCTGTTTTTAAATTCTGTAATATTAAGTTACCATGACAAATAGATTATTTCAAGCTTTCAGGACATTTGGTCAGTATCAAACACAGTTAAATATATTCATTGACAAATTCCTAGTTTAAGTTAAGGGGGAGATAATATATACATATATTTTTATATCTTGCTATATGTTTTTCTACCCAAAGAAGAAAGGTAAATGTGTGATTTTTTTAAGAATGAATTAGTAGAACTGTATTATTTGGCTATATAATTCTTTGTTTTGCTCATTTGATTTTGGGTAGAAATCTTTCTAGGAATTAGGACAATTTAAGGTGAGAGATGGAGCATTTTGCATTTATTGTTGGACATCTGCTGTAGAGGGAAAACTTAATTATTTAATTAAGTTTAATTAAATACACACATTTATTTTAAAGGCATGATAACCATTCTCTACTAGCAATGAAAGATTAGAAGCTGGAAAAAAAATTTTAATTCTTCAGTCTTTGTGAGCTGATGTTTTTTATGTGACATTCTTTTGTAGTTAGACTAGAAAAATAAAATTAAAATTTTGTGTATTAGTAAGGAGAGGTTGTAGCCAGAATGGAAAATTTCACAAAATCATATATTTTAAACTTTTATTTTAGAAGGTGATTATAGCTAATAATGTCTAGCCTTCTCTGAGTAATTTGCCCACATAATTGCATAGGATAACTTAAAATTACATTTTAGGACGTTAATTAAAACCTTGAATTTAAGTCAGAATAAAATGCTGAAAAATACATGGGAGAGGAAAGCTGAATAACCATCTTACTGCATAAAATTAAAGAAATATAAGGAGCAGGGATTGTCAAAAATACCATTTGCATGAAGTAAAATGCTGATTTTACAAATTTTAAAGTCAATGTCAGTGCCTGAAACAGAATAGTAAAATAATAGAAAGTAGAGTTTTTCCTTATGTATTTCTAGTTTTACATTTTGTGAAATATTTTTTTGTGAATGAAACATACTCTGAACTTTTAATGTAAAGTCATTAGTGAAAAGTTTGGGACTGGGCAAAATAGGTTGAAGTAGCATGTAGATTTTATGTATCTGTTTCTCAACTTGTATAAACTTACCTTGTTTGTTTCCATTTGTGTGTCAGAGGCACACAAATCAGGATCAGGGAGATACAGGGGTTTCAAGATGAAGGAGAAATCCTAAAGAGGGAGGAATA
Source organism: Homo sapiens (assembly GCF_000001405.40). NCBI lineage: Eukaryota > Metazoa > Chordata > Mammalia > Primates > Hominidae > Homo > Homo sapiens. The sequence goes on along the minus strand of NC_000004.12, from coordinate 109,123,815 downwards.
ATCCGTGATGGCTGTAGAACCGAGGCCTATGTCCAACAGCAACATCTGACCTCATTGAACACCTTAGAATAATTGCATATATATCATGATTCTTTATGTTAATGTGGAAATAATTTCATTTTTCAATTCCAGCATTATCAATAGAATATTATTTCTTTGTAATTGTGAAATGCTGTACTTCTTAATCTTTGGTTCAAATATAAGCATATTACTCCATACATATTTTGTTAGGGAGAAGTTCAGTTTACTTTATGGTTTGTATTTCCATGTAGTTATTAATTTACCTAAACTCTATTTTTGCCAGAACTTAATCATATCAACTTATTTATTTATTTATCCCTTTAGCTCACATTATTAATATGGGCTAGGCTTACTATAGATCAGATTGTGAAAATAATTAAAATAAGGTTTCATTTAGGAGGACATATTTAATAGAATGATATGATTTTGTTTCAGTAAGCAAAAGTTTATAGATTATATTTAAAGGAAAAACAACCTGTTTTTTTTTTAGGCAGTCACTCTAGTATCACTGGCATTGGATCCTTATTTTTATGGCTGCTGTTTGTTCATTTATTGGGGAGGGAAGACATCCTTATTAAAGTTCTTGTTGTCAGAGAAAATTTGATAAATACCCCACAACTCAGCTATTTATGTGAATATTCTGCCCTACACTTGAAAGGTATCAAATAGATATCTTTGGGAAGAAATTTCAAATCCCTTAAATAGTGGGATTAATTTGCAGGATATTTGATTCTCCTTGCATAGCTTTTGTGGGTCCGCAATAGTTACATTTTAGCTTCTTTTATTAAATAAGCAAACTGCAGATAACTAGCTATGTCATCTGGCATGATTAGTGCTGAACAGCACAGTCCCCCACAAGTCTTGATTGTCTTTATACTTGTCTGCTCTACGGTCATTCCTTGGCATTGGCTTATTTCTGAGGACTGTCAAAGTGTGTGAATAACTCAATAAGTATATTTCTCTATGTTCATGGTTCCATATTTTCCTGGAAAGTTATTGCTTAGTAGATTTACTGTCAAATATACTTTTGGTTATATCCAAAAACCATGCTTACATGTGTCTTTCTGTCCTTGATAACATTCACAGCTCCAAATGTCCTTCCATTAGAATTATGACTTGTTTCCCCTAGAAAGTTCATTGGGAATTCATCACAGTCCCATAATCAAAGTTGCTATAAGGTATAACTTACATGTTACAACATATAAGTAATGTCTTCCTTTCCTAATTCCTATAGCACTTTCTTTGTGGGCATCTTGGGCATAACTCACATTCTATCTACTTTTGCTGCCAAATTTATGACAGACTTCCCTTCTTCTCCCCTCGATTCCCCTCACTTCCTTCCTTCTAATAAACTTAAATTTTTAGAGTAGTTTTAGGTTTATAGCAAAACTGAGTGGAAAGCGCAGAGAATTCCCATGTACCTGCCCACCCTTCACCTTCCTGTGCTATCAACATCCCATGCCATAGTGGTACCTTCATTACAATCAATAAGCTGACTCTGACACATCATTATCACCCGGAGTCCATAGTTTACATTAGGGTTCCCTCTTGGCACTGGACATTCTGTGGGTTTGAGCAAATGTATAATGTCAGGTAGCCAACACTGTAGTATCCTACAGAACAGTTTCACCATCCTAAAATCCTCTGTGCTCAGACTGTTCATCCCTCCCTCTCCTCTAACCCTTGGCAGCTACTAATCTTTTTGCTGTCTCCATAGTTTTGCCTTTTTCAGAATATCATATAGCTGGAATCATATAATATGTCGCCTTTCCAGGTTGGTTTCATTCACTTATTAGTATGCATCTAAGTTTCATCCATGTCTGTTCATGGCTTGATAGCTCATCTCTTTTTAGCCTGAATGATATGATATTCCATTGTCTGGATGTATCACAGTTTATCCTTTCACCTATTGAAGGACATCTTGATTATTTACAAGTTTTGGCAATTATGAATAATGCTGTTTTAAACATTTGAGTGAAGATTTTTGTGTGGATATAAGTTTTTGGTTCCTTTCGGTAAATATCAAGGAGCATTATTGCTGAATCATGTGGTAAGAGTATGTTTCATTTTGTAAGAAACTGCCAAACTTTCTTCCAAAGTGGCTGTATCATTTGGCATTCCCACAAGCAATGAATGAGAGTCCCTTCTGCTCCACATCTTTGCCATCATTTGGTGTTGTCAGGGTTTTAGATTTTGGTCATTCTAATAGGTGTATAGTAATATCTTATTGTTGTTTTAATTTACAATTCCTAATGACATATGCCACTGAAATTTTCATATGTTTAGTTGTCATCTGTTTATTTTCTTTGGTGAGCTACCTTTTTAGATCTTTTGTCCGCTTTTTAATTAGGTTGTTAGTTTTCTTATAGTTGAGTTTTAGGAGTTCTTTGTATATTTGAGATAATCACCCTTTATCAGATGCTTCTTGCAAATATTTTCTCCCAGTCTGTCTTCTCATTCTCTTTACATTGTTTTTCACAGAGTAGATTTTAATTTTAATGAGGTCCAGTTATATTTTTCATAGTTTGTCACTTTGGGGTTTTATCTAAAATGTCATCACAAAATCCAAGTTTATCTATGATTTCTCCTGTGTTATCACATAGGAGTTTTATACTTTTGTTAGTCCTTCAAATTTGTTCTTCAGTATTGAGTTAGTTATTCTGGATCTTTTGCCACTCTATATCAACCTTAGAATCAGTTTGTTGACATCCACAAAGTAACTTGCTGGGATTTTGATTGGGATTGCATTGAATCTATAGATTAAGATGGGAAAAATTGATGTCTTGATAATATTGAATATTCCTGTCCATGAATATGGAATGTCTCTCCATTTATTTGGTTCTTCTTTGATATCTTTCATCAGAGTTTTGTAGTTTTCCTCATATAGATCTTGCACATTTTTTTTAGATTTATATCTAAGTATTTTATTGTTTTGGGTGCTAATGTAAATAATAATTGTTTTTGAATTTTTTTTTTTTTCTTTTGTTGAGACAGAGTCTCACTCTGTTGCCCATGCTGGAGGACAGTGGCACAATCACAGCTCACTGTAGCTTCCACCCTCTGGCTCAATTGATCCTTCCACCTCAGCCTCTTAAGTAGCTGAGACAACAGGTGCATGCCACCACACCAAGCTAATTTTTGCATTTTTTGTAAAGATGGAGTTTTGCCGTGTTTCCCAGGCTGGTCTCAAACTCCTGGGCTCAAGCAATCCACTAGCCTTGGCCTCCCAAAATGCTGGGATTACAGGTATGAGCCACCACACCTGGCTTGGTAATGTGTTTTCAATTTCAAATTCTTCTTACTTATTGTTGGAATATAAAAAAGCAATTGACTTTTGCATATTAACCTTTTATCCTGAAATCTTGTTATAATTGCTTATTAAATCTGAGAGAGTTGTTTTTTGTTTATTTTTCCAATTTTCTCCATAGGCAATCATATCATCTACAAAAAAAGAGGCAGTTTTATTTTTTCCTTCCCAACCTGTATACCTTTTAATTTCCTCTTCTTGTCTTATTACATTAGCTAGACTTCCAATACAATGTTGAAAAGCAGTGGTGAGAAGAGACATCTTGCCTTGTTCCTGATCTAAACTGGAAAGCTTTGAGTTTCTCACTCTTAAGTATGATGTTTGCTGTAGGTTTTTGTCAATGTTCTTTATCCGGTAGAGGCTCTTCTGTATTAATTTGCTGAGAGTTTTTATCATTAATGGGTGTTGCATTTTGTCACATGGTTTTTCTGAATCTATAGATGCAGACCATGTGATTTTTCTTTTTTAGCCTTGTGCTGTGATGGATTGCCTTAATGAATTTTTAAATATGGAGCCAGCCTTGCATACTGGGGATAACTTCTAGTTGGTTTTGGTGTATCATTATTTTTATACATTGTTGAATTTTATTTGCTAGTATTTTGTTGAAGATTTTTGCATCTGTGTTTATGAGAGATATTGATTGATAGGCTTTCTTTTCTTCTGATGACTTTAACTGGTTTTGGTGTTAGGATAATGCTGGCCCTGTAGAATAAGTTAGGAAGTACTTCCTCTGTTTCTATCTTCTTGTAGAGCTTTTTAGAGAATTGATATACTTTCTCTTTTTAAATGTTTGGTAGAATTCACTCAAGCTATCTTGGTTTGGTGCTGTTTTGGAAGAGTGTTAATTATTCATTCATTAATAGGCGTACTCAGATCTGTGTAAGTGAGTTTGGGCAGTTTGTGTGTTTCAAGGAGTTGATTTATTTAATCTATGGGCATAGAGCTGTTCATAGTATTCTTTTGTTATCCTTGTAATGTCCATGGGATCTGTAGTGATATTCCTACTCTCATATCCTTTATCAGCAATTTGTGTGTTCTCTAGAGGCTTATCAATTTTATTGATTTTTTCCAAAGAACCAGTTTTGAGTTTTGCCGATTTTCTCTATTAATTTCTTATTTCTTTACTTTCTGCTCTTTTATTATTTCTTTTATTCTGCTTATTCTGGATTTAATTTGTTCTTTTTTAGTTTCCTAATGTGGAAGCTTAGATTATTAATTTTAGATATTTCTTCTTTTCTAATACGTGCATCCAATGCTATAAATTTTCCTCTAAGCACTGCTTTCACTACATTCCACAAATTTTGGTAAGGTCTATTTTTATTTTCATTTAGTTCAAAATATTTAAACAGTTCTCTTGAGAGTTCTTCTTTGACCTATGTGTTATTTAGAAGTATATTGTTTAATCTCTAAGTATTTTGGGATGTTTTAGCTGTTTTTGATTTCCAGTTTCATTCCATTGTTATCTGCCAGCAAACATTTTATACTTTCTATTCTTTTAAGTTTGTTAAGGCATGTTTTAGTCCAAAAATGTGGGGTATCTTGGTGAATGTTTCATGTGAAATTGAGAAGAATGTGTAGTCTGCTGTTGGTTGATGAAGTAGTCCATATATGTCACTTATACCCCCAGTTGATTGATGGGTCTGTTGAGTTCATCGATTTTCTGTGTGGTGGATCTGTCCATTTCTGACAGAGGGGTGTAAGTGTCCAACTGTAATAATGGATTAATATATTTCTTCTTGCAATTCTATCAGTTTTTGGCTTACATAATTTGATGCCCTTTTGTTGGGCACATACACATTAAGACTTGTTTCGTCTTCTTGAAATGTTAACCCCTTTATTATTATTATGTAAAACTCTATTCCTGATAACTTTTCTTTCTCTGAAGACTGCTCTGTCTAAGATTAATATAGTTACTCCAGCTTTCTTTTGATTAGTGTTCCCGTGGTACATCTTTCTCAAAACCTTTATTTTTACTTTATTTGCTTATATTTTTAATTGACAAGTAATAATTATATATATTTATGAAGTACAACGTGATGTAGTGTTACATGTATATGTTGTAGAAAGAGTAAATCAGGGTAATTAACATACCCATCACCTCACGTGTGTTATCTTTTTTTGTGGTGCGAATGTTTAAAATGCATTATTTTAACAATTTTGAAATATACAATATATTATTATTAACTGGGGTCACTATGCAGTGCAATAGATCACTAAAACTCATTCAAGTCTAACTGAAACATTGTACCCTTTGATCAACATCTCCCCTTTCTCTATTAATACTTTTAGTCTATATGTCTTTATATTTTAATTGGATTTCTTGGAGACAAAGTGTATCAATTATTGTTTTTTATTTACTCTGATAATTTCTGTATTTTAATTGCTGTATTTCGACCACTGATGTTTAAAGTGATTATACCATATTTGGTACTGTTTTTTGTTTGTTGTCCTTGTTCTTTTGTTTCTATTTTATATTCTACATTTTTTTCTGCCTTTTTGGTTTTAATTGAGCATTTTATATCATTCCATTTTCTTCCTTTTTTAGCACATCAGTTATACTTCTTTTTTATTTTTATCTTTTTAAAAACACTGGTTTTAAGTAGTTGCTCCAGAGTTTGCAATACACTTTACAAGTAATCTGAGTCCACTTTCTAAATACACTACACCACTTCACAGATAGTGCAAATAACTTATAATATCAAAATATTTCTAATATTCCTAATGTCTTTCTTCCATCTCTTGTATCATTGCTGTCATTTCTCTTATGCATAAGTATATATAAGCATATATATAATACACATGAGCACACATAACTGAATACATTGTTGCTATTATTTTGAATAAAGTAGCATTTGTTAGACCAACTAAGAATAAGGGAAATAACAGTTTCCATTTTACTTTCACTTAGTCATTCCCTGATGCACTTTGGTTGTGGAGATTTGAGTTTCTGACCTAATATTTTTTCTCCTGTCTGAAGAACTTCTAATATTTATTGCAAGGTGGTTCCACTGGCAGCAAATTCTCTCAATTTTTGTTTGAGAAAGTTTTGATTCTTCTTTATTTATGAAGAATAATTTCACAGAGTACAGAATCTATTTTGATGGTCCTTTTTCCCTCAACACTTTAAATATTTCCCTCTACTTTCTTCTCGTTTACATGGGTTCTGAGAAGAAATTGGACGTAATTCTTATTCTATTTAGATTGTTCCTCAATAGATAAGGTGTTTTTCTCCCCCTCTGGTCTCTTTCAAGATTTTTGTTTATATTTGATTTCTGAAGTTTGAATGTGATATGTATACCTAGGTGTAGTGTGGGGGCATTTATCCTGCTTGGTATTCATGTGTGGTTTGGTGTCTGACATTTATTTTGGAAAATTCTCAGTCATCATTGTTACAAATATTACTTCTGTTTTTTTTTCTCTTTCTTCTCCTTCTGATATTCCTATTACGCATGTTACACTTCCGTAGTTGTCTCGCAGTTCTTAAATATTCTGTTTTATTTTCCTTTTCTGTCATTTTTCTCTTTAGTTTTCAGTTTTGAAAGTTTCCATTGTCACATTCTCAAGTTCAGAGATTCTTCTCCTCAGCCATGTCCTGTCTGCTACTGAGTCCATCAAGGCATTCTTCATTTGTGTTACAGTGTTTTAAATCCTTAGCACTCCTTTTTTAATGCTTTTTTATAATTTCTGTCTCTTTGCTTACATTAATCATCTCTCCTTGCATATTATATACTTTTACCTTTAAAGCCCTTAGCATATTAATTACAGTTTAAAAAATCCTGGTTTGATAATTCCAACATTCTTATCATATCTGACTCTGGTTCTGATGCTTGTTCAGTCTCTGACACCATATGTTTTGCTTTTTAGTATGCCTTGTAATCACTTTTGAGAGGTGGGCATGATAAACTGGGTAAAAGGAACTGTGGTAAATAGGCCTTTAGTAATGTGGTAAGGTGTGGGGAGAGGAGGAGAGTTCTACAATTCTATGATTAGGTCTCAGTTTTTGGTAAGCTGTGCCCTTGAGCTGTGAACCTCACCAGTGCTTCTTATTTCCCCTTTCCCTTAAGTAGGATAACATGGCTAGAGGAAGATTTTCCTAATCTTCAGGTTGATCAGGCTCTGATAAAATCGCAACAGGCTATGCTCTGTGAAAATAGATTCTCCTGATGGAGGCCTTGTTGACAAGAATAAAATGCTGTTGTTATTTCAAAATGGCTTATTTCCCCTCCTTCATCTGAAAGCATGACATTCACTGTCTTTTTCTCCAGTATTCACTGCGAGCCCCTGGCAGAGCTCCTAGAGATAAAACTCACAAAAGTGTGGGGGCCCCATTACTGTGTCCCTCTGGAGTTTTTGATTCTCATTGCTGTCCCTACTGAATCTCCAGCAATTCATCAACTACACTTCGGGTTTTCCTATCCTGGCACTGGTTTCTGCTGAGTTCCAGTTAAGTTTTGATTCTCTGTATCTGCCTGTCTGTCTCCCCAGTTTTTGGAGCCGTGATTTGTCCTGTTCCCTCACTTCTCTGATAGATTTTAGAAGATCAGCATCTTATCTGTTATGTATGTAACCTAGGGGTCACCTCTAGGATACATGGTAGGTGCAGGGGGTGTTTCATGTGCAGTATTGAGATGTCATCTTGGCAGCAGCTTCTCTCCATCTCGTGCTCCTTTTATATATCTCAGTGCTGCTTGGTCTCCTTTTCACATTGATAGTTTGGGAACTAGTATTTGGGAACTATTGCTTTCTTGATGCATCTGTCTGTACACTGGCCTCTGGAGAAGGGGGTATTAGAAAAGTTACACTTCTTTTTTATTGCCTAATATTTTAGTCTTCTCCTGAAGGTACATCCTTAACATCTCCACATGACTTCCTGTGGTTTTAATCATCTTTGCCCAAGGAATGGGGATGATTGGTGGATGTTACAACATAGAAGAAGAAAGATACAAAATTGATGTTGTGACCATCCCCTTAGTTCAAATGAAAGGAGCTAAAAATATTTAAGCCCTACCCTTTCTTTGTGTAGCTTTGTTCCCTGACTTAATGTCGGCCCTTCAACTTTGGACAGAGCTCTTCAAAAACCTACATTTTGACTCTTTACCTGCTCCCACCAAATTTTACCCTATAGGATTTGGGATTCATCTTCCTTTCAACGCAAGAAAGTCTTTAAGATGCATTAATCCTATAGCAGTTCTCACTGCCTGTAGTGTCACCTAAAATAATATCTGGAAGTGGAGAAGAGAAAAATAAAGGTATTTGTTTTCTTTGTGTTTAGGCAAATCCCCTAAGTATCAAGTGTGGGGTTATTTTTTTCAGCTGCTGTTTATGTTCATTATAACTACTATTACAAGAATGTTATACCTTGTTTTGACTCTTATTCAATATGTGAATTTGATTTTGGGCCAAAAACATTTTAATGTATTTTGTTTCTGTTTTACAAGTATTTCACTTGATGCCTATGTTCATAAATTTTTAATAACATCCTGCTTCCTACTGTTCTAGCAATTAGTGGTGTAGTCATCTAATTTGACTGTTGTTTGATTTTGCTTGAACAAATACTTTATTGAAGCTGTTCTTTACTATGCTGGTAATTTTCTTATGCCTTAAATAGATAGCCACTCCTTCTTTTGGAAGACCAAAAGTTGGGTGGTCCTGATTATGTAGTACTACCACAATTTAAGTGCAACAGTAATTTTGGCATCCACATTGCCATTTTTAGTTGCTGCCAGTATTGCACATGCCTTTCATAAAGGAAAGACCCCATTCTCTAGGGTTGGCAACATCTTACTCTAGTACCTGCCAAAAATGAAATTCCCGTATGTCACGTTGATATTCTTGGTAAATGTGTTGCATCCTATGCTCCAGCCTTCCTGAAGTATTTGTAATTCCCAGGATGCACAGGGCTTTCTTACGTCTTCATGACTTTCACATGCAGCTCCCTGGTCCTACATGGCACATTCCACCTCTCAACTCCATTCTACATCACTTTTTGCACCTGGATGACTCCTGATGTTTCAAAGCTCAGCTCTGATGTCAGATCCTTTGAGAAGGCTCTTTTTGATTCTGTCATCTCCCTCAAGTCTGGATTGAATGTCCACCTACATTCATACTTACTCATAGTCATCTGTCTTTGCAAGTATACAGTTGTGTAAACCCCTGTCCTAAATTGTAATCCTGTTGATCTCAGGAACTATGCCAATATTGAACTATGTCGATATTGCCAGCACATAATTAAAGGTTAATTATCATTTAATGAACTGATGGAATATTACTTGTAAATAATTAATTGAGTGTTCATTCTAGATTTTCTGTTGTTCTTGGATGATGTATGCAGAGTTTATCCTTATACAGAACTACTCACAAATCCTGTGGGAAGGATGTTTCACTTCTTAATATCTTTGTATCTTGTTCAAGAACTATTATCATTGTGGTTGTTTTTATTTTTTGATGATAATGGACATTGGCAATTATTGGTCATCTTATTACATGCAAGACCTTCAGCTAGGTGCTTAATATATTTTCTCATTTAGCGCTTATGGTGATTCTTTAAGATTTGTTTTTTCATCTTCATTATATAATTGAGGAACTGGACACTTAGGGATGCTAAGTTACTTAGTTAATTTCATATCTGCTCAGTGGTAGAGCTAGGATTTGTATTCTAAGTCTATCTGTTATTTAGAGCTCATGCTTTTTGTACTACATATGTTGCCTTTCTTCAGCTGCGTATGGAAATGCTTACGAAAATATGTAGTGCTCATGAAATGCTTATGAAGGGTTACCATAAGGACAGTCTCTTTTATGGAAATAGCATCACTGGAGTGATTCATAGAATGGTTAGTTCAGTCAGCAAGCTTTCTTTATTGCCCAATTTACCATAAACAGCTATTTAGTTTTAAATATGTTTGATGTTAAATGTATCCATTAACATTTTAACATTAACAACAGAATTAACATTTTGAAAAACTATATTGAGATAAAAATATCAAAATGGACACATGAGAATTAGAGCAAATGTAATAATATTTAAACTAAAAACAAAATTACATTTGAGATCACACACACACACAAAATCCATATATGTTAAGCCATCAAGACAGAACTTTGTGTTAAAAATTCTCTTGTGTTATTAGAGGATCACTTTGGAATTCCCTAAAAATGTGATATTGCAGCTCTGCACAATGTCCAGGATACAGGGTCTGGTTTGCACATTGGTGACAAATCTCTTCCCAGAGCTGCAAAACAATTTGTTTCTGTCATCAGGGGGTTAAAGAACCAGTTTTCTTCCTGTGCTGTTGAGAGACATTTTTTTCCCAAAGAGATCAGGGAAATACATCAGAAGAAGAGATTATTCACATTTGCCCCAGTGCTACTAAAACAGTTGTTTGTTTTTCCTCTCTCCGGTGTAGAAGCCTTTCCTATTCTCCACTTATCAAAGAAATTGAAGAACTAAACCTATGTACTGCCACCGCTGCTGATTCAGTTCTTTGGTTTCCCCCTTATCAATCAGAGTTAAACTTGACTGTTCAGGGGTCTTTAGTTGAAAGCTCAGCTGAATTTGGTGGTCCTTCTGAAAGTCTTTATGGACGTTTGCCAATTTTATATAACTACTACAGGGTTCAACAGACTTTTTCATTCTTGGCAAAGTTTTACCTCTGAGAGATCTGGGATAAGAACAGAAAGAATGCTGCACAAAGAAATAGGAAAAGCTTTGTGGAAATATGATGAAGTAGTTTATATTATATACTTGTTCACTTTGCTCTGTAATTATACAAATTTTTCAGGTTGTCTTAAACATAAAATTTACTTTCTTTGGGACTACTATCATTTTTCTTTCTTTTTTGAGGATAAGTTTCCTTAATAAGGAAATATGTGCATATTAGTTTTACTTGAACATTTAATATAAACTGAGGAGATATATTGAAAAAATAAAAAATGAAATCTGCTTTTTAATAGATGCCATGGCAGAATAGAAACACTGTTTTTTTTTTCTAATATTTTATAAAATCATATATTTTAAAAAGCAAATAAACATAATTCTTAACCAAAGAGGAATTTGGGGTAAAAAAAATTTTCATTCCATAATCCACCATATTTATTATGGTCAGACAAGCATTAGCTTGGGAAGGACACATGTGCCTTTATTTACTTTAAGAAAAATAGACTGTCTTTACTGTCTTTCATTCCATCTACTTCCCAGGAGAAGAAGTAAATCACCTCAGAATGTTGGGTGGTTGAGTGGGGGAGGAATCTTACACCCCATTTAAATATCCCGAAGATCTCCTATAACAACAGTTTATTAACCATGTTTATTGATAGGAAAATGAACATATAGCAGGGGAATTTAATTTGTATACTAAATCAGTTCAGTCATTCATTTACTGTTTTTTTTAATTCCCTCAATAAACATTTACTTAATACAAATAAAATCAAGAAGATAAAGCAACCAAGACTAAGAAAAACAGGCAAACAGAAACTAGAAGGAGTAGCTAGGATTTAATCTTAGATTAAACGTGAGATTCTCCAAATGTATTGGTACATGAATTTCTTTAGTCTTAAGGGATTATTCACTGGAGAAAAATGCTATTGAACTACCATTTTATTTCCCTTCAATCGTTATGTATTAAGCATCTACTATATTCCTGACATTGTCTGGTATTGTGGATATAACATAAATACTACAGTCTTCCTTTGAAGAGCCTATAGCCTAATGGGAGAAAAAAGTAAACACATATTAATTACAGAATGAAAGCTGTGTGATGGAAATTTATCCAAAGCCTAAAAATTAATGACTCTGGAAAGGGGAAGGGGAAGCTTCACAGAGAAGTATACTGTTTGAGCTGAGACTTAAAAGCTGAGATGAATTTTACCAGAAGGTCCAGCCATTATCCACTGTCTGAGGCCATATCTAGACCAGAAGCACTGGTCTGTGTCCGAGGAATCCTTGAGAGAAGTTCCAGAGGAAGGATTCCGAATGCAAGACAGTGAGGGCACATTATTGGTTTATTTGCACTGGGCCAGAAAAACAAACAGGTTGTGACATAAGATGTGAGATGATGGGTTGTGAATGGAAGAATTTGTAAAGCAAAGAATCCACCATAGATATAGGTCTACATATAATGGGAAGCCAGGAGGATATATTAGCACTTCCAGTCTAGAGGAGGCTAAGAACAACTGAGAAATGACTGTGGGATAGGGTCAGGCCAGGGCACATTTTCCTGGACTGGATTCTGGCCTTCACAGTTGTTGTAAAGCTGTCAATTCCTGCTGGATACAGAGAAATGGAAGAGAAGACCTTTCCTGCAGAAAGAACAGTCATTGCGAAAACACCACATAGTACATCAAATAAACACAATTTATGGCCGAATAAAGACTCCATGTGCAGGGAGGAGGTAGAGAAAAATCTGGAACAGTGGCCAGAGAAAGATTTTGAAGGGCCTCATGTGCCACACGGGGTTTTGAATTGATCCTGTAGACAATGAAAAATGCTTGAAGGGTAAATGTTGTCAGCTTTGAATTTTAGATCACTCTGGAACTTCTTTGGAGGAAAATTTCAGGAAGTTGGAATTGGAATCATGGAGCCAGAGTAGGATGCTATTGCAATAGTGCAGACGAAAATAGATGAAGAGCTAGACTAAGATGGTGGTAGACATGGAAAGAGGAAAGGGAAATATATGTTCTCCAGAACTGATGGGCTTTGGAAACTTATTTGTTGTGTGGGGTGACACAGAAGTCAAGGAGAAACTCCAATTTCTGGGTAGACAATTGCACCATAACTCTTGACTGAAATTAGAGAATGAAGAGGAGCAGGAAAAGGAGGAGCAGGAAAAGTTGGAGCAGGAAAAATGGGGAGGAGACGAGGAACAATGTGAACATTTCATTTCTTACATTTGAGGGGTCTGGAGAATTTGCCCATGTGAAATTGGTAATATTGACCTCGAGATCAGGAGTGATATGAGAGCTCAAACTACAGATTTGGGAATCATTAATATTTAATTTGAGCCACAGAAATAGGTAAGCCCCTGCAAGAAAAACAGCTAACAGAGAAGAAGGTAAAGGACATGAGCTTTGAGAAACACTAACGTTCCAGGGACAGTGAGAGGAAATGGGGTCTATACATAGCAGAATGGGATTATGGGAAGCAAAAGGAAAGAAGTTTCAAGGAGATGCTAAGAACGTAAGCACTCCAGAGAATAAATGAGGCTTCCTGGGTGAATACCAGCTGAAGATCAACGCTGGGTACAGATCACAAATCACTGACTTGGTACCTTTTTGGGAGCACCTGGTTGTCTCTAGCCTTGTGATTCAGGAGTATTAATATAAGAAGAAACCATATTTGCTCTTGATGCTAATTTTTGAACATCCCTCCTGTACTAGATGTAGACTGAAACCATACAGAATGAAACACAAAGAATCCCGGACCTCTAGGTTCTGAATATAGAGGCATGAAAACACAAATTCGTACAATCCTGGTGTTTGTATTTTTGTGAGAAAAGAAACGTGTGAAGGAATGGCCACACTTCAGTTTATAAGATGGAAATGAGGGATTTAAAGGAAGTAAACAATGACATGTGAGATAATAAGAAAGCTGATATGTGTGTCTGTCTTCTCTGTGAGGGTACGAGTGTCAGTGAGGATGCCATCACTGATCATCTCTGTTTCCGTGTCTAATACATCTTCAACACTGGTTCTGGAACTGCTCACATGTGGATGTAGACATTAGGGAGCAAGATAGCCAGTCCTGCATTTTTGGGATTAACAGTCCAAAAACAGTGTTAGGTGTGGGGTTAAGGGCATTTCAGATGGGTAAACTGGACATATACATCCCCAGGCACAGAGCACCTGGTGACAACCATGAACCGTAAAAGGGAGCCACTGAAGCAGAGGATAGCGGGGAGAGTTCACATTTCATTAGTTGCTTTAGGTAACAGCTGCTTGTTAATGTAAAGATGAGTTTAGGCCGGGCGCAGTGGCTCATGCCACCTGTAATCCCAGCACTTTAGGAGGCTGTGGCGGGCAGATCACTTGAGGCCAGGAGTTCGAGACCAACCTGGCCAACATGGCAAAAACCCATCTGTACTAAAAATACAAAGATGGTGGTAGACATGAAAAGAGGAAAGGGAAATATATATTCTCCAGAACTGATGGGCTTTGGAAACTTATTTGTTGTGTGGGGTGACACAGAAGTCAAGGAGAAATTCCGATTTCTGGGTAGACAGTTGTACCATAACTCTTGACACAGCCAGGTGTGATGGTGCACATCTGTAATCCCAGCTATTTGGAAAGATGAGGCACTGGAATAGCTTGAACCCAGGAGGAGGAGGTTGTGGTGAGGAGAGATTGTGCCACTGCAAAGCCTGGGTGATAGAGCAAGTCTCTGTCAAAAGAAAGAAAGAAGGGAAAAAAAGATGAGTTTATTGGCATCTTCATTTTTTGAAAGGAACAATTATTTGCCAGTTTTTTAAAGTGTATATAAAGTATTTTGGAGTTTTCTTTCTTTACTTGATTGTACAGGCATATCTGTAAAATGGGCTCAGTTACAGACCACCACAATAAAGCAGATATTTCAATAAAGCAGATATCACAATAAAGCAAGGCACACAAATGTTTTGGTTTCCAAGTGCATGCAAAAATTATTTTTACACTATATTATAGTCTAAGAAGTGTGCAATAGCATGTCTAAAATGTACTTAAATTTATTTAAAATACTTTATTGCTAAAAAAATAATAAAAAACCATAATGAGTACCATTTTAATTTATTTTTTTTAAAAATCACCTTAATGAAGGATTGGAGAAAGAGAGAGGAGTTATTAATAAGGTAACAGAAAGATCTAAAATTAAAGCTAATGATTTTTGGTAAACTAGTTCAACCATCGTGGAAGACAGTGTGGCAATTCCTCAAGGATCTAGAACTAGAAATACCATTTGACCCAGCCATCCCATTACTAGGTATATACCCAAAGGATTATAAATCATGCTGCTATAAAGACACATGCACACGTATGTTTATTGCAGCACTATTCACAATAGCAAAGACTTGGAACCAAGCCAAATGTCCAGCAATGATAGACTGGATTAAGAAAATGTGGCACATATATACCATGGAATACTATGCAGCCATAAAAAATGATGAGTTCATGTCCTTTGTAGGGACATGGATGAAGCTGGAAACCATCATTCTCAGCAAACTATCACAAGGACAAAAAACCAAACACCGCATATTCTCACTCATAGGTGGGAATTGAACAATGAGAACACATGGATACAGGAAGGGGAACATCACACACCGGGGCCTGTTGTGGGGTGGGGGGAGCCGGAAGGGATAGCATTAGGAGATATACCTAATGTTAAATGACGAGTTAGTGGGTGCAGCACACCAACATGGCACATGTATACATATGTAACAAACCTGCACGTTGTGCACATGTACCCTAAAACTTAAAGTATAATTTAAAAAAATTGGCCATGTACATCAATAGGTTTTTAAGGTATGTAGAAAGTTTACACTGATACCTTTTAGATGAAAAGAAAATGAATGGAAAGAGTTGATCACATGGAATTAGAAGTTAAATGGAATTTTTAAAATGCTGTTACACATTCACCCCATCCTCTGTTCAGTGGTAAGCTGTGTATACACGAGGTGCCCACAGTGAGAAAAAGAACAAAGAGCTTGGATTTATTTTTCAGTATTTTTTGTTTCTTTTGGTAGTCACGTTGGTGGTCCTCTTTTGTGTAAAGGCTATCAGTTCTGGTATTTGTTAGAATGACTCTACAGATGTCGGTAATATTCTAGATGCTGTTTACCTAAATAAGAGCTGGCATCTCTAATTTCTCCGTCTATTTTATGTAAAATCACATGATGAAAGGGGAGCAATAGCTGATCCTCATCTCTTCTTTTTTCCTTTGGGCTTTTCTTCTCCTCACCTCCAGCATTTCCAACTTTCACTTGTCAATGATGAAAAAAATGTTATTATCTTACTAAATGACAAGTGGTTAGTTTCCTTTTCTCAGTAAAAATAGATGAAAAATGTTATATCACAGCTCAAAACATCTATAATACATATTACTCCTAAATTGTTACACTGAGGTATAAACTTCAAAATATCTAGTCATCTTTGAGGTTGAAATAGGAAAAATAAAATCTGTAAATACAGATTTTGTGGAAAATAACTCCTGAGGACCTTCAATGAGAAGTCCATTTAGAAACCTAGAATATATTTTTTCCTAGAAAATAATTTTCCCTTAGGCATTTTGTGGAGACAGGGTAAAAAAAGGTGTTCTCAGTAACTACCTAGTTTTCTTTAATATTACTTTTTGTCTAAATTGCTTCATTGGAACTTATGGTGGATACTGAATTTGTCATTATGATTTACACTAAACTAAGTTTAAAAAAAACTTTTTGAAGCACTTATTAAATTTTAAATGGGCTAGTCGTGTGGCTCATGCCTGTAATCCCAACACTTCGGGAGGCTGAGGAGGAAGAGTTGCTTGAGCCCAGGAGTTCAAGACTAGCTTAGGCAACATAGTGAGACCCCATCTCTACAGGAAACAGAAAAAATTAGCAGAGCGAGGTAGCCTGCGCCTGTAGTCCCAGCTACTCTGGAAGCTGAGGTGGGAGGATCACTTGAGCTTGGGAAGTCAAGGCTGCAGTGAACCATGACTGTGCCACTGCACTTCATGCTGGGCAACAGAGCGAGACCCTGCCCCCTCCCACCCCCCCAAAAAATTTTTTTAAAATGGATATTGGGAATTACACATGCATATAGTCCCAAAGTGATTGGTGGGGCTGAAATACTGCTCCATTTTGGTGAGAACTTTTCATCCTATTTTTACAGCTAATATTCTCTGCCCAGTGTTAGTAAGATATACACACAAATGCTCTTAGCTATACTTTTCCAGAATAACACTCCTCACATTGATTTTTTTTTTTAAGTTTCTGAGATAGCTGAATACCTCTTTCAGTGTCATGAATAATCCTGTAAGGTAGCTGTGGATGAGCATAACAGTCTTAATCACAAATCTGTCTTGTAAAGTGTACAGTATCAGAATGTCCTAGGTTTTTTATTTTGGTTGGGGAGAGAGGGGCAAACTTTAAGCTAAAAACTCATTGAACTATCAAAATAAATACAAATGCCAACGTACTGATTTTAAGTCAGTGTAGTTGGTGGGAAAGTTGACAATTTAGGAGGAGTTGGGACAGAAATTTCACTGTTCATCGCTCTCAAATTTTAAGAAATGGTGCTTGTGGCTGGTGTCATAGGTCACTGTCACAATAGCCTACTGTAGGAAATTGTGGGATAGGAGTAGGGAGGCAAAAAGAGAAAGATAATTTGTATAGCTCATCAGTCTGTTTAGAATGTATGTTTATTATATGGAGATTAACAATATTCTTTTTCCTATGTTATCATCCTGATTATGTGAGCGAGATCCCTCATACTGAAAATGTAGAAAGCACAGTAGTTCATTCACTAAATGTAATAGAGGATGGTGTCTGACATCCTTAATAATAAGATATTCTTGAGTGAAATTGATAATTAAGATTGTCATAAAGTAAAGTAGTTTTGACAGAAACTTTACAGCTTCTAGAAACTAACCATACTCAATACATGGAAATAAAATTGATCGGTTTCATAAAAGAAGTGTATTTAAAAGGAAAAGCTGCTGCTTGGTACATTAAAGTTTGCAGAAGAGGATGTGGGGTTTTATTTAATATCTTTACCTTCTGTTTCCTTGGGAGAACCATCCTTAAGGGCAAGTGCCAGAGCTCTTCCTAGGGTCATTTTACACTCTTTAAAACCAGGAAAATGGCATATTTCCAAGTTGTGAAGCCTTATTTATCCACTTTTTCATAGCTCTTCATTTTTCTTTCTGTTCTTTCCATTACATATTATAAAATTGTCACCAACAAGATTATTTAATGAACTTCTTCCAATTTCTTTTTCATTTAGTTTAAATACAATGAGAGAGCAGAATTTAGATTTTAGAATTTTGTTTGTTTATTTGAGATGGAGCCTCTTACTCTGTATCCCCTTACTCTGTATCCCAAGCTGGAGTGCAGTGGCACGATCTTGGCTCCCTGCAACCTCTGCCTCCTGGGTTCAAGTGATTCTCCTGCCTCAGCCTCCTGAGTAGCTGGGATTACAAGTGTGCACCACCATGCTCAGCTAATTTTTGTATTTTTAGTAGAGATGAGGTTTCACCATGTTGGCCAGGCTGGTCTCGAACTCCTGACCTCAAGTGATCCACCTGCCTCGGCCTCCCAAAGTGCTGGTATTATAGGTGTGTAAGCTACTGTGCCCAGCCTAGAATCTTTTTATTACAGAAAATTATAAAAACAAATGCAAAAGTATTTAGAGTAGCTTCACAAAATAATTTATCCCCAACTAGCCTCCACAGTGATCAGCATAAGGCACCTATTCCTACCCACTTCCCCCTACCACCAGGATTATCTTGAAGACAATCCAAGGTAGAATATCATTTCATATGCAGGCATTTCAATATTTATCTGTAAGAATTAGGACTTTATTTACCATAACCACAATACCATTATTGCATCTAATAAATAGCAATTTTTATTAAATCAATAGCATTATTGCATCTAATAAATGGCAATTTCTTATCACTAGATATCCAGTGTTTTCCTCTTTCTGATTGTGTTTTTAATATTTAGCAGTTATTTTATTTGAATCAGAATTCAAACATCGTCTTACAACTGGTTGAGATGTATACGTTTCCTTTAATTTATAGGTTGCCTCTCTCTCTCTTTTTTTTCTGTTGTTGAAGAAATTAGTTAATTTATCCTGTAGTTTCCCAGATTCCAGATTTTGTTGTTACATTCCTAAAGGTGTCTTTTAATGTGTTCCCCTGTTCCTTGTATTTCCTTCTAATTGGTAGTTAAGAGTTAGAGGCTTAGTCAAAACTAAGTTCATGTTTTGGCAAACCCATGTCATAATGGGAATTTTGACCTTGTGTTAGGAGATACATCATGTCTAATTTTTGCTCTCTCTTGCTCTCCTTTATCTGACTTTAGTAAACATTGATTGGAACCATTAATTCATTACAGATTGCAAAAAAGAGAGAGAGAGAGAGAGTGATTTCCTTTTTATTTATTTATTTTTTTGAGATAGGGTCTTGCTCTGTCACCCAGGCTGGAGTGTAGTGGCACAGTTATAGCTCACTGTAACCTCGAACTCCTGGGCCCAAGGGATTCTCCCACCTCAGCATCCCAAGTAGCTAGGACTATGGGTATGTGCCAACATACCCAGCTAATTTTTCATTTTTTTAATGAGACAGGGTCTCAACATTTTGCTAGGGCTGGTTTCAGACTCCTGGCCTCAAGTGATCCTCCCACCTCAGCTTCCCAAAGTGTTGCAATTACAAGCATGAGCTATTCAACCTGGCTAAAAAGAGTGATTTTCTAATTCTAGTATTCCTTTTGCATTTGTAGTTGGAATATTTCTATAAAAAATTTTCTGTTAAAATGTCTGAAATCATTGTCTGTTGAGTTGTGCTGAGCCATAATTTCTATAGAAAAGAAATGATTCCCATTTAAGTCTTTTTCTTTATCAGTATTCAAAATAATGAAGTCATTTTCTGGCATCTTCCAAAAAATGGCCAATGTGTATATTTTTGAATCATTAAAAATTCATGGATTTAATATGTCAATACTTTGTAGTTATTAACCTTATTAGTGATCAAATTGCACCATCTTTTATCCAACTTGGCTCTGAGCCCTTTGACAGAACGCTAGTGGTTGTGATAGCTTCCATGACAAGATGCTTCAGGTTCAATTTGTTCATTTTCCATTTTAAACATGAGTTCAGATACTTCTCAAAAGACTTCATTCCTTTCAGTGAGAAATGGCATTTCAATACCACAATTCTGGGTATTTTTGTATTTTTTGAAGAAAAAAATTACTTTGAAACTTGTTTGACAATTTAAGAGAAAGTACATACTTGGTTATATGGGCAAATAAAAAATTGGTGACTTATAAGCATGACCCCATGGCTTTAGGTATGATCCTAAAAGCAAGTGGGAAATAAATTTTTATTTTAATGGTGGAATAATTGACTAACACAGATAGTGCAGAATAAGGGGTGAGGCAAAAAACAAAAGTATTTAGTAATGCTACCAAAAGGAGCATTGATTGCAGTCTCACTGAATTTGTCTAGAGAGTTAACATTTAGCAAGATTTGATTTGTGAAATTATTATTTTAAAAATATAATTTGGTGCAAAGAAAAGGAAGAATGAACTTTCTATGAAAACATTGAATTTTTATTATGGTTTCTTATTTGTTTTGCATAGTGATGTATTAGTTTATTTGAAGTTAATGAAATAAGATCTCTTTGTAGCACCAGCTAAGGACAAGAATGTGTGTTTCAGAACATCAGTGTGTTGCTTTGGCTCTTAATTAAAGGTTTCTGTGTTAAGAGATCTTTTGTTTCTTGAATGGTAAGTGCAATCACCAAACTAGTGCGATATCTATAGTATTTACATGATTTATAAATATCTGCTTAAATACACAGCAAGTTAGAAGATTTAAATTTAAACATAATAATAATTGCATTAAATGTAAATAGTCTACACACCCCCAATTAAAAGGCAGAGATTTTTCAGATTGGATAAAGAGCAACTGTTTGCTGTCTGCCAGGAACTGACTGTAAGCATAAAGTAAGCTAAAGTGGCTATATTAAAATCAAAATAGATTTTATAAAAGAAAGATTATGAAAGGTACATAGAGATATTTTATAGTGACAAATGGGTCATTTCATCAAGGGGACATGACAATCCTAAATGTATATGTAACTAATAACAGAGCTTGTAAGTATATGAAGCAAACATTAACAGAACTGACAAGAGAAAATAGAAAAATCCCACAATTTTAGTCAGAGATCTCAACATCCTTTTTTCAGAAATTGATAGGACAAATAAATAGAAAATTAGTAATGAAATAGAATACCTGAAAAATATTATCAACCAACTTGATTTAATTGACATTAGTAGAACATTCCACCTAACAACAGAAGAGTCTGTTTAAGTGCACATGGAACATTCAACAGCTAGACTATATTTCTGGACCATTAAACAAGGCTCAATAAATTTAAGAGGATTGATACCATACAGGAAATATCTGACCATAATGAAACTAATTCAGAAATCAATAGCAAAAAGATATCTGAAAATTATAAAAGCACCTATAAATTACACAAAGGTTAAGGGAAAAAAATCACAAGAGTAATTAAATATATATTTATCTACCTGTATAAAATTTATAGTTTTATACATTATATTTTACATGTAAAATACATGTGCATGCATGCATAAAAAGTTGAGTTTCAAACATGTTTGAGTTTTTGTGAAGTTAGTGGAATTAGAATAATTGAAAACAATTGATTTCTATAAGGTGAACATGATAATCATATTATGCTCTGTATGTAAAAAAAGTTCTCCTTATAAAGAATTTATATCCTAAGGGAGACAAAATATCACAGAAACATACATGTGATGTATTTCATGTTAAGCTTTTATAAAATTGATAGTCTGGATAATGTGTAGTGGGCTATTTATTTATGGAATGGGGTTCATTAAACTCTTGGTTGTGAGTTTTCATGGGGGACAGGGAAGAACATTTCATCTGTAGCTCAGTAAGTTCAGGATGTGTGAAAGGGGGGCCCAAGAGAAGCATTGAAAGGGTCTTTGCTTTCTGAAAGAGACAGCCAGATGTCAGCCTGACGAGTGTGCTTTGTCTACTTCCATGCTGAGTGGAGAGCATTTCATGAAAGAGATAATAAACATATGGAATAAATTACTGGGAAAAGCAATAGATGAGTTCAAGAGACACCTAGACTTGTTTCTGGAGAAAAGGAATTGGTGAATATTATGGGAAAGCAGGAGGATTGGATTAGCTTCTGCAAACAGAGTAGTGATACTGAGGATTTTTTCTTTCGTACATTTTGTACATTTTTGCATATTTTGAAATCTCCATTTTAAGAACTATCCCCCGCTCTCCCAAATTACCCTGATCTTTTAACAATTCTTTTGCAACTTTATCTTCCACAAGGCCAGATAGGCTTAGATTTGTGGCACCAGGGGCATTTTACTGTAGCTTATTTAGCAAGCTTTGCTGCTACTGACTGCAGCTTTTCTCCACTGTCCTCACTTTTTTCTCACCTGCAGTCACCGAGGGCTCAGCCTTACCTGTGCATTCCTCCCCAGCTTCTACCTCTCTCATTACTGTCATGGAGAAATCACACAGTATTTGGTGAAACACGTTGAGTCTTGTGGTTCTTTTTTACTCCCTTTGAATTCTATTTTGAGTATTTTCAAATTGGCCAAGACAATTCCGTGACATCAACAATAATACTCTCATCACACTATAAAGGGGAAGTTTTGAGTTGTGTCCTATTCCTGTTATATTCCACTTTGATCTTTATCTAAGGCCCCTTTGAAGTAGCCACTTTAAAATTTTCCTACAATGATGGCCTTAGAATTCTGAGACCAGAAATAGCTAGCTAGTAAACTTTTATTAAATTGGTCAGAGAAAACCAACCTGAGTTTGGGTGAGATCACCTTTTCATAACCATCACTGCCTGAATGTCTACCTTTCAGTTCTGAAGTCTGATTATGAAGCAATTGGAATCGGGAGTATTTCACTGTCTTTGGGTTTGCAGTGTATAGCATATCTCCTTCTCCATTGTCATATTCCCAGCTATGAACCCTGTAAAACAAAAATTTCCAGGTTATTTGTATGGAAATTCATAATTAACAGTACTTACTAGAGGTTAACATTTTTCTCAGGAGAAGATAAGCTTGGTGTTAAAGGTGTTAAAGAAGAGATTTTTATTCTTTAGGTATAGAAATGCTACAGGGAAAATATGTGTAACTTTTGTGGCCAAAAATTTAGATAATATGAATAAGATTAACAAACAAGTAAATGAAAAAATGAATTCTCCTTATTTCAATCACCCACAGACAGCATGAAAATGAATTCTCCTTATTTCAGTCACCCACAGACAGCGTGAGACCTACCTACTATTAACTCATGGGTGTATGTTTCCAGTCTTTTTTTTTTTTTCTCACAAAAATGGGCTTATATTTTATCTAGTTTTTGTACTTTTTGTCATTGGTTTTGATTTTATTTAAAAGTATTTTGAAAATGTTTTTCATATCTAATTGACATTCCACTTTTATGATTTTTAATGAGGGCTACCATCCTTTGATAATTTACTTAATGATTCTTCGTTGCTGAAAATGACTGCATGTTTTACAGTGAACAAACCCTTGAGTGCCTCCATGATTATTTCCTTAAGTTAAATTACTAGAAGTAGTGTACCAAATAATAAGCTTAAGTTACTAAACTGACCTTCAGAAAAATTGCACCATTTCCACTCCTACAGCAGTGTATGGATGTGCCCGATTTCTTGTGAATTTATCATTCTTTTCAATAGTCTTAATATTTTTAGAGTATTTTGGGCTTACAGAAGGATTGAGAGGAGGGCAGAGATTTCCCACATGCTGTCCCCACACATGATGCTATTATTTTTTATCTGCCAATTTGGAGGTGAAAAAAATCATATCTCTGCTGTTTTAATTTGATTGAAAGATGGCTGTCCAAATATTAGCAGTTCAAATAGTTTTAAAATATGTCTATTGGCCTTTTTCGTGTGTTTCTGTGTTTTGGGTTTTTTCTTTCACATTAACTATTTTTGCCCTCATGTTTTCATCAGAATTTTTTATACATTAGTTATACATATATATTTATTTTTTCTCCTAGTTATTTACCTTTCAGACTAATTTATGGTGTTTTGGGATATGTAAAAGACTTGACTTTCATGTATTCAAATGTATTATTTATTTTTCTTTTTTTTTTTATAACTTTGGGAGAACCTATTTTTAAAAGACTTCCCACCTTGTTTTATGTCTAATATTCAATTATTGGTTCTACAAGTTCCATAATTCTATTTTTTTCTATTTATTTTTGATGTTAACATATAAATATTTCATTTGTAATATAGGCAAAGGATCACTTTCATGGAAGTTAAACAGAACCTTTGGTAAGAATGGTTTGCTATACCTTTTCTTTTATATCAGAAAAGTTATATATCATTAAAATATACTGCCTCTTGTCTAGATATGCAAATATTTCAGTTGGAAATCTGTGCAATGCTGGCTTTTCCAAGTCAGTTTAACAAAACTTTTATGTTGGTGTAGATTTCTCATTTCTTATTTGTTGTTACATCTACCTTTTCCCAAGCAAGGCAATCATTCTTCTGATTATCTGCTTACAAAATTCTACAAAAGGTTCAGGTTTATGGTTTTGATTTTGCTAATTTTTCCCACCATACACAGAACTTCTTAAAGGAAAGCATCTTATTAACAATATTTAGATCATTAGAAAATAGTGTAAAATAATAGTAGAGCTAACCTTCATTGTGTATTTGCTGTGTGCCCTACATGCCCTGAATGCTTTACATGGATAACCTCCTGTGAAGTAGCTATTTTGTAGATAAGGAGACTGAGCTTTCACAGATTGATATCCAAGCTCACAGAACTGCTAAGTACTGGAGCCAGAAGTGAACCAAGGCAGTCTGATTTCAAAATCCATGCTTTTAATTACAACCTAATGTAACTGCTACTTTATTTCACTCTGTTGTCTAATCTTTCAAAGTTTGCAGTTAACATTGGTTATAGACTAAACATCCTGTGCTTAAAGTAGATTGGGGAATAGGGGTCATTTTGTTCTTTATCTTCTTGATGAATTATATTCTTGCTATCAGGTAAAATTATTTGACCCAGACAGTACAACTGGTTAAACTGAGTAAAGAATACTAATGTGAATAAAGAAGATTGATGAAGGCTTCAATGATCTAAGATGAAAATTTTGTTTTGTTTTGCTTTCTGAGCATAAGAAGATTTAATTATCATCCAGAGAGTGAAAATGATGCATAATATTGATCATAATTGAATTATATATACTTAAACTGCATCTACAACACAGGCAGATATTTACTCTCATATGAGCACTTGCTTTATCTTATCCAAAGTCTTACATCTACATGGATTATGGGTCTCCTTGATTAAAGCAGGTGCTGGTATCATGAAGAGAAACAGCCACTTGTCCAGAGGTGAGGATTCTTGGGTTCCCAGTTTCCTATATTTCAGAACACCTCTAAGTAACCATCACTTACATGTCCGATTATCCAGGGCCTTCCCTTGGCCCACAGACACTTCCACAAGACAGTATGGGTCTTAGAAACTGCGTATCAGCTTAAGCAATTTAGCACTTCTGTGTCTGCCTAAAGAAAAGTAGCATACTCTAAACTGAGAAAGTAGATGATATTGATGAAGGGTAGTAAAAGTGTTGTCTGGAGCAACAAAAAAGTATTCATGTAATGTGCATTTACAGAATAATAACAATAGTTTCCTGAAGCAGAGGCCTTTATGAAATTGATACACCATCTATCCCTAGAGAATGTCATTGCTCCATCATTTTAAATGGTTTTAATTTGCATCTTAAAAAATGAAATTTGTGCCTGGTGCCGGTGGCTCACGTCTGTAATCCCAGCACTTTGGGAGGCCGAGGTAGGTGGATCATGAGGTCAAGAGATTGAGACCATCCTGGCCAATATTGTGAAACCCCATCTCTGTTAAAAATACAAAAATTAGCTGGGCGTGGTGGTGCGCACCTGTGGTACGAGCTACTGGGGAGGCTGAGGCAGGAGAATCGCCTGAACCCAGGAGGCGGAGGTTGCAGTGAGCCAAGATCGCGCCACTGCACTCCAGCCTGGGCGACAGTGCAAGACTCTGTCTCAAAAAAAAAAAAAAAAAAATTGATGTTTACCTAAGATAACATAATTTTATTTATTTATTTATATGTTTGAGATAAGGTCTTGCTTTTTTCACCCAGGCTGGAGTGCTATGGTGCCATCTGGGCTCACTGCAACCTTTGCCTGCTGGGCTCAAGTGATCCTCCCACCTCACACTCCCAGGTAGCTGGGACTACAGGTGCGTGTGACCAAGCCTGGCTAATTTTTGTGGTTTTTTTTTTTTTTTTTAGACAGGGTTTCTCCATGTTGCCCAGGCTTGTCTCAAACTCCTGGTCTCAAGTGACCCTCCTGCCTTGGCCTCCCAAAGTGCTGGGATTACAGGCACAGGCCACCATACTCGGCCAGATAACATAATTTTAATTAACATGGCTCACTTGTAAGTGTTAAACAAAAATTATGAGAGGCCATTGTTTTGAACTGAGCTCTTGCACTAGGCACAAACAGACCAGACCAAACCAAAACGGAGTCAGTCGTGCTAAATGCCACATAATCAAACTGAAACATTAAAGAAGCAGATAGATACTAAACAGGCCAGTTTTTCCTGCAAACAGGGGATTTCAGTCTACTTGAGCCAGCATAACACGAAGTTCCTTCTGCTTTTAACCCTTACAGAGAAAGTAACCTGAAGTAACTTGAGGTTAACTAGTCAACTTTTTTCCTATTGTTCTGTTTCCTTGTTCCTACCTTATACAACCTGCTATTACGGTTGCCCAGTGGGAGCTCTCATTCTATTTTGTATAATGGAGGATGCCCCGATTAATGAATCATGAATTAAAGCCAATTAAATCTATAACTAAATTTGTCATAGTATTGTCTTTTGACATCAGCAACTGGTCCCATAATCAGGGAGGGGAAATAGCTATTTGTCAGGAACTGCAGCTGAGTGCCGTTCTATGACAGGCCTGTTTTTTGGTTGATTTATTATACAAAATTAAAAATAGAAATTGAACTTATGAAAAGTTTCTATTAAGCTAACACTTTGACAAGTGGCATTTTAAATCTATATAACTTTTAATAATAATACAATTATGAGTCACTTAATGATGGGGATATGTTCTGAGAAACACATCATTAGGCAATTTTGTCATTGTGTGGACATGACAGAGTGGATTTACACAAACCTAGTGGTATAGCCTACTGTACACCTAGGCTATGTGGTATAGCCTGTTGCTCCTAGGGTACCAACCTGTACAGCATGTTACTATACTCAATATTCTAGGCAATTGTAACACAGTGGTAGGTATTTGTGTATCTAAACATAGAAAAGCTAATTTGTTGTTCTGTGACATTACAAAGGCTACATCACTAAGCAATAAGAATTTTTCAGCTCCATTATAATCATATGGGACCAACATCATAAATGCAGTCTGTCATTGACCAAAGTGTCATTATGTGGTGCATGACAGTAATCATATTACTAAAGGAAGTCTCTTAGTAGTGAACTGTAGAAGTAAAGTTTTATTGTCTGCTGAAAAAATGATAATAGGGCAAAGTTTGTTTACAGGCAATACATTATTTTGCTATGCATGAAGAAAACATGCATTAAATGGTTAAGTGATAATGACAACATTCATTTGGCTCTCATGTCGCCAACCCATTGTTCTATAGCTGTCTAACCCGTCATTCCAATTCCAGACACGTTCGCTCCACTTCAGTTTCCTAACCCTTCACTCAGTTAGTGAATTCATCTTCAACTTGTGCACAAATTCCAGTCGTTGAGTGTGCAAAGACCAAATTTCTACTCTTGGTAAACAATTTCTCTTGCTACTCTTATGTGATTAATTTTGTGCTGTGGACATGCCCTTTAGGGGTTGCCAGGGATCATATGACAGCTGATCCCCTCTCTCACTTTTCCATATAAGTGCCTCTAGTAAGTAAGAAGATCACTTTGTTAGTCCAGCTAGGCCTTGTTTTACAAATACCCGTGTCTGCTACTCCATTATTCTTTATTTTACTACTATGTTATTGAAAATAATTCTTCAAAGGCTTTTCAGACGGGCAGCTGATTTTCAGAGCTGGTTGCAGAAGGT
Organism: Homo sapiens; assembly: GCF_000001405.40. NCBI lineage: Eukaryota > Metazoa > Chordata > Mammalia > Primates > Hominidae > Homo > Homo sapiens. The sequence goes on along the minus strand of NC_000004.12, from coordinate 109,095,635 downwards.
TTACTTTAGCTTTCCCAGGGGACAAATGAGTTGTGCATGCATTGTCTCTGCGTGATCTCTTGGTATGAAGCCTTTGGACCCTGACATACTGGCTGCATGTGGGCTGCACACCAGTAGTGTGCACTTAAGCACATAAGTCAAAAGAGAACCACAGTCCCTATTCATTTCTGGCACTTTGGTTCTGCATCATTATGCCCTCTTCCAGTGAAAAATAATGGAATGAGTTTCCCAAAGTTTTTACTATTCCTAGGTTTTAAAAAAACACCAGTATATTTTGATAAGAGAATTACATTTATCATCTACTTTGTTCTAAAGAAAGCTCAGTCCTTAAAAGCTGAGTGTCTTTGGTGTTCTGACAGACAAAGTGGAATGAATTGTTACTGCATCCTAGAATCATTTATTAGTTGGTAACAAGATAATATGTCAATTTACTTTCATTGAAAGTGTTAGCATTTGAGGGATTTCTGAAACTTTAACTCATTACTTTGAATATTGAAGTAACTCATTTTGTTACATGTGCTTGAACTTTTCAGTGTATTGCAACGTTATTCACAGTGAACACAGTTTATTTAGGATGATGTTTTACTACATTAGCAACTAATGGTGGTTGGTTATATGGGAGTAGAATAAAGTGAATTGTATTCTTTGAAAAGTTGTAACAATTAGAGAAGGGAGAAATGTAGACCAATTATTCAAATGCATGATTAGTATATATTTAAGCTGATTTGTTCTTGTCTAATCATTAGAAGGCTTTGCTTTACTTTTTGTAGTTTTGGAAGAATCTGTTTTCAAATACAGTCTTTGTAACTCATCAGATGACTTAAAGATAGACTTATTTTGACTTTTGGGGAGAACATTTGCAAACTAATCATCAACAGTCTACATTTCCACTGATTGTCTGAAATTCTAAAGTTTTCAGACATGTGGAATGAAGTGTATTGCCAAAATGTAGTATCTTAATGCTGTGTGATTTAAATGATTTGATTAAGTTGATAGTCGGCTACCAAACATGAGAACCTTATGTCAAGGACTAGGTATGAATGTGAATTAAGCTAAGTCCGAAAGAAAGTTGTAGTTACAAGAAGGGGGTAGACGATTCCTAAGTTAGCAAATATAAAACCACACATTCTCTTTGAGGAATCATTTTTAATTTTTTTTTAAAGAAAGGAAAGTTAAAAAGTATTACGGTACACAGTGAACTTGAATGTTCAAGAAGATTACAGTGATATATTTAATGATTCTCTTCTGATGGGGCTAAGTGTCTGCCAAGCAAATGTAATGGAAAGGAGGAAAATTAAATTCAAGGGTTTGCCTTGTGAAACCTTAGTTCTTCTGGCAGGATCTGAATGAATATTTGTTTGACTAGTCAAGCCTAAATACTATCTTTTATCCATCATGTGCCTGTGGTTTGGATGGGTTTCCTTTTGTATTTTTATGCAACTGACAATGGAGAAAGGAAGAACCAACTCTCTTTCACTAGAAGGATATTTCATATATGTAGAAAGGTTTTACAAAATCTTGGAAGACAAACTTATCATTTATTCACTCATTCATTTATTGTTTCCTTCATTCAGTACATATTTATTGAAGCTCTATTGTTTTTTAGATACTGTGCTGTATTTGACTAGTCATATAATATTAATAAACAGGGCCTGTGACATTACAATGTCTTTGATTTGGTATGGATATTTTCCAACTAAAGTTCTAAATGGTTAAAAACTTTTTTTTTTTGCAGTGAGAAATACTAAGTTGCTATAAATTTAGAAAAAGGAAAAGGCTTTTGATGATAAATTTGAAGGTAACAAAATGTTGTCATCCAAATTGCATTAAGAATTAGTGTAAAACATGCTTTTAAAAATGTTAATTTCATGTTTGGCCTCATATATTATTTTACAGGATTGCCATTAGTTCTGAAAATTTTTCTGAGTCCTTGAACTACAGTATTTTACTTTAAAACCCACATTTTGGCTGTGTGTATCTTTTTTTTTCTTTTAAGAGATAGGGTCTTGCTTTGTCACCCGGGCTGGAATGCAGTGGTGTGATTATAGCTCATTGCAGCCAGCCTCAGACTCCTGGGCTCAGGCAATCCTCTCACCTCAGCCTCCCAGGTAGCTGGGACTACAGAGGCACACCACCACAGTTAACTAATTTAAAAAAGGTTTTTTTTTTTTTTTTTTTCATAGAGATGGAGTCTTGCTGTATTGCCCAGGCTGGTCTCAAACTCCTGGCCTCAAGTGACCCTTTCACTTTGGCCTCCCAAAGTACTGAGATTATAGGCATGAGCCACTGCACCCAGCCTGTATGCATTTTTTAAGAGGAAGGATTAAATTAATTGAGACGTCAAATGATTTTTAGTTGCAATCTACAAAAGGGTTAGGAACTTCATCTTAGACTAAATAGGGGGGCAAAGATAATGTGATTTTTAGTTTTAGTTGGTATTTTCCAAAGCCTTATTAAAGTCATGTCTGATAGTTCCCTTTTATCATTTGAACTGCACATGTGCTTGGAAGATCTCCGGGTTTAAGACTTCTTGTTTTGTTCTGGCCTGGAGTAGGAAATCTGGCCAGTGTTCAGTATAACCTTTCCCAGTGAGGATAAAAAAAAAAGTGACTGTAATTTTACTTGATTTTGTAAAACAGTTGGCAGAGGTAAATTTTTTTTTTCTGGCAATAGTACATTTAACCTTCAATCTTCACAATCTCCTATGAATATAGGTTATTTTTACCCCAATTCTATAGGAAAGGAGACTGAGGTTCACACAGATTGAGTGAGTTACTTGAGGTCCAAGACTCAAGCTGGATCTTCTCATGCCAAGTTGCATGCTCTTTTTCACTCCATTATAGCAAACTCTAAGAAATCTTAGAAAGTAAGGTAAGTATGCATATAGGGAGCACTGGACAATGTCTTGTAGACATTGTCACTTGCCTTCACAGTTACCAAAATCACTTTTCTAAATTGACAGTAAGAATGACAAGTTTAAGCAGTTTTGTCAAATCCATAATTTAGTACAAGTACCTTAGAATTCAAGATAACTTCTAAGAGAGTAAGAAGGTGAGGGAGTGGACCTTGAGCGTTGCCCCAGAGGAAGTTTATTCTTTGCGGAAAGTGATGGCTGTGTGTGATGTGGGTGGCGTGGTGTGTGCACGCATGTGTGCATCTCGCTCTGTCACCCAGGCGGGAATGCAGTGGCATGACCATAGCTTACTGCAGCCAGCCTCAGACTCCTGGGCTCAAGCAATCCTCTCACCTCAGCCTCCCAGGTAGCTGGGACTACCTGAGACTGCGCACCACCACACCCAGCTAATTTTTTAAAAAGAACTTTTGTAGAGACAGAGTATTGCTATATTGCCCAGGCTGGTCTTGAATTCCTGGCCTTAAGCAATCCTTTGACCTCAGCCTCCCAAAGTGCTGAGATTACAGATTACTTAACTTCTTTTTAGGCTTTGTGCCTCTGTCTCAGATCTCCCCGTGGACTTGTGGTAGTGGCCCTTGTCTTACGGTCACTTTCCCTGGGTCGCAGATAGCTTTCTTTATTGCATTAGGGTGCTACAAATTTCTCATGATCCCAAGCTGAGTTTTAACCAGTCACCTCAAGGTGAAAAGCTCAGTATCACGTTACTGTTTCCTTGGGCTGTCATCCATTGCTCCTGACCAACATGTCATAAATGTTTTAAGAGTCTGCGTCTCTCGGCTTTGGTCTTGCTGCTAATCTGAGGCATACAGCGCTGGCTCACATCTCAATGAATCTTGGAAAACTCACTCCTGCGCTTGTGTGTTTATGCAGAGCAGCCAGACCCTTCAAAATAAGTGGTGATGTGTCCTGCCCTATTTCAGATTAAAATGGATTCCCTCTGAGTCTGGTGTTAAGGATTACAGTATTGTACAGGGCTTTTTTTTTTTTTTCCACCTAAAGATTTATTAGTCAGATATCTGAGCCACTATTTTACTAGTAAGCAGAAAGGGAAGAACTGTCTTGGAAATGCTTTAGCTGACTTCTAAAAGAACTCTCAGGAAGTGATATATGCTCTTGAGAACTCTATTGCTGTGCATGGTGAACTATGTGTTAGGTGTTGTGGGTTTGTATAAAAGTATAGGCTAGATAGACAGACACACACACACACAGAGACGATTTGGATGAAAATAACGGTTTAAACAACAACATAGGACATCTCAGAAAGAAATGCATGATAATTGAGAATTAAATTGTATAGACAATTGTTGTCGTGGTTTTGAGCGTAAAGGAAATACTTTGGACTGAGAAAGACTTGGTAAAATGAGTTTGAGTTGCATCTGAAATAGTAATGGGACTTAGAGAGACAAAAAGGGGAGAAGAGGGTATTCGTGAGCACAAACACAGAGAGAAAAAGCAAACACCTTTTGGAGGTGTAGGGAGAGACCAGTCTAACTGTAGTTAGGGAGTTACAGAAGGAGAATCAAAGCAAACAAGTTAGAAATGAAGGTTGTAGTCAGAGTATTGAAGGCTTTGGATGTCAGTCTGTTGACTAGACTTTATTCTGAAGCATTTCAAAAACTGCTTCCTTGAACTGCCTTTTCAGCCACTTATATGATTCTTTTTCTTCCAGGAGATGTTGCCAAATTTGTGTTTTGCCCTTCACAGTTGGGGAGAAAAGAAGGAAACCAGGACATTTAATGTCTATTCCTGTATATAAATATATAAGCTGTCCTGAGGAAAGGTCTTCCCTTAGAACATTTCATTTGAAAATGTTCCCTTTGTTCAACCCAGGCTATAAATGTTAGCAACTTTGATTTGACTTTGATGATACACACTCATCCCTCGAAGATGTCAATCACTAATGCTGAGTCCAAAAGACTGTTTCCCAAGTAGTTACATCACATCATGCTGCTCACTATAGTTCTCAATGATGTTAATTCAGAAAATAAACTTTCAAATGGAATTTTAAACTGATAATATTCCAGTTGGCATTCTGACCAAGAAGGAAGTGGGTGAAACTAAGTAGTAAAGAAGGTTTTTGCTTTTTTAAAAAATAGCACTCATTTACAAGTATATTGTCTTTAATAAGACATTTAGACATAACATAACTACATTTCAGCACTTGCAAGCAGTATGTTTAGTTCTAGTTGCTGTAAGTTCTAAAACTGTATATTTTAATTTTAAATTCTGAAAGCACTTTCATAGTTTCCTAACAGCCTCTTGACTTTTTGATAAATGCAATAGAATGACTGATGACAGATACTCTCCTCTATGTTTAATTAAGATGAAAAGTCATTTACCAAAGTGAAAAAATTTTTATGTGAAGGCAAAAGGTAGAAGAAAAATAAAGAAAACCTACTAACAAGGAAATCATAAGGGACAAAAATTCAGATTAAACATTCATGAATAAATTAGCAAAGGTTTGCTAAAGTAGGAATTATGTAAAACTATCAGTTCCGTGTGGTTTTTATAGGTCAAATGTACTACTTTAAACTTAAATTCTGTCTAGAGAAAAAGTAATTTTGTTTAAGAAATAACTTTATTCTGAAATAGAAACATCTTACATGTTTCTATTACATGTATTACATTTCTATTACATTTTACATGTTTATATTATATATGCACTATATTCTTAACTAGAAATGTTTTACATTTATATATACTGAATTTGGTAAACTCAAACTTCATGCAGAATTTATAGTACTTCATATTTATGTCACTTTAATTGAATTTTTGAAAAAAAAAAAGTCCTATGTAGCAATTATACTTCTAAAATATAGCTGGGCGTGGTGGCTCACACCTGTAATCCCAGCACTTTTGGAAGCCGAGTCAGGCAGATTGCTTGAATGCAGAGTTCGAGACAAATCTGGGCAGCATGGCAAAACCCCATCTCAACTACAAATATAAAAATTAGCCAGGCATGTTGTTGCATACCTATAGTCCCAGCTATTTGGGAGGCTTAACTGGGAGAATCACTTGAGTTCAGGAGGCAGAGGTTTCAGTGAGCCGAGATCATGCCATTGTACTCCAGCCAGGGTGACAGAGCAAGATCTTGTCTCAAAAAAAAAATATTTTTAAAAAATATACTCAAGTGAAATAATAGATGTAACTGTCCTATATGCCTCAAGTAGATCTGATCTCATAATTTGTAATCATTCAAACAGGAACTGAAATGATGTTGACCTTTGTGTTATGGAAAAAGCAGAGTAAATAAAATGAGTACAGGTTTTATATAAGAAATTACTGTCAAGCACTTTTTAATTCTCCACCTAGCAGAAGAGAAGCTATTATTTATTAAATACAGGAGCTGCTATATGCCTTCTTCATGTCCTATGAGGTGGGCATTCTAGTAAAGGAATGAAAGATGAGAGATTGAACTGACCTGCCCAAAATGGATTAATGTAATTTCATTGGAAATAACCTGATCATTTTGCCAGGATGATTAAATGGTCCTTTCTCTGTAAGGTTATGAGGTTATGTCTCTATTTTGATTGTTCTGTGTCATTTTTTCCCACAATGTGATGGCTTTTCTACTTCATGTCTTCTTTTGTTTAATATTTCCTTGAACTACTCTTTCCAAATGTCCCACTGTGCTTGTCCAGCCCTCCTCTTCAGGTGCTGGTCATGGGCAGGTGAAGCCCCTTTTTCATTTATCTCTGAAAAGTTTTTTAGTAAAGAGTGAACAAGTCAGGCAAAGATGCCATTTATCTTTCTGCTTCTTTCTCTTTGCTGTACGTGGTTGATTTCTAAGAGAAGAGGGTACCACAGTATTAAAACTGGAATTCTCCCAGAGGAAACTGCTTGAAAGAGTTCTCTATAATCACTGTCTTTATTCTCCTACTCAGTTGGGTTCTATCCCCATCATTCATTCTCTTGTCCAAATCACCAGTAACCTCATGTTGCCAACTTCAATGGTTACATGTGGCCCCGCAGAGAAGAGTATGTCTTCTATTCGAATGTAAATCCCCTGAAAGCAGAGAAACTGTCTCACTTACTACTATAAATTCAGTGCCTGGAACGTTACCCGGTTCTTAACAAATATTGCTAATTGATCGTTATCATTCATTCATTCATCAGTTTTGAATGTCTGCTTCATAGGCACTGTGTTAAGCTTCATGGGTGCAAGTTGAATGGGATAAGTTCCTGTTTCTAGACATTTATAGATTCATGGTGGAGGCAGACACATCAACCATTTTAGTACAGTATTACTCATAAATTATAATGTCACCCCATAAATTTATACAATTCTAAATTGTCAATTTACAATTAAAAATAAAATTACTTATTTGAAAACAAAACAAAAGATCTCAGAACCACTGATTTAGCCTCAGTTCAGTTTTGCCACAGGTGGCATCGGAACCTTAAACCATGCCCCATACCTGCTCCTCACTGTGGAGACATAATTACTCTAATTTTTCACAGATTCAGACTCATAAAGCTGAGGAAATTAAAGATGTTTTTGACACTCAACACAGCCTCTAAACTGTATCAACTTTCTCAAGTGCTAGACAAGATGGATAAAATTAAAACTTAAAAAGCATCTGTCAATAAGAGCAGCATAAAATATGCCTTTCTATGTGTGTTGATTAATTTTGAAGTCTTATTTCAGGTTTTAATATATATATAAAATATATATATTTAAAAATTTATTTTCAATAAAAAAGGAAACTTAGAGTCCATTCATTACCACAGAAGCTTCAGAGTATTAAATAACTCCTGTATTAACTTTTTGGATGCCAGTCAAGTTGTGTGTTGTTTCTAAAATATAATGATATGAATAGTATATAGAATGAGGTTTAAATAATAATCACAGAACAGTGTATATCTCAGTCCACTGCAGCTATTTGACCCAATTTCTAACTATTATGGGAATTCTAATTATTCAAGGAAAAATACAGGTGAGATTTTGTATGCAAAAAGCAATAAATTTTTGAAGAATATATTTCCTAATGTAAGTATTTGAATGTCTATATTTAATAACAGAGCTTATTAAAATAAAGGAAGCAAAGTAAAAGTAATATGACTTTCACAGTGTATAGTAAACAGATCAGTCAGTAGTATATTAAATGTTTCTAATAAACCTGAAGTGTGGTTCAATAGAGTAGAGGACCACTGGATATGAAGCAAGGGTCATCAATATATTTCTTGATGTGTGCATGTAAGTTTAGAAAGGGCACTTCTATTTTCAGGCAAGAGTGGTCCATGGATCACTTCAGAGAAGGCATCTGGATTTCAAGGCATGAGTTAGGCCGTGGCATTTCCATGTCTGCTGTCATCTAGGTGTGGCGCAGGCGGGGTGGGTGGTGCAGTTAAATTTCTGTGTTTTAGGTGCAGACCCCTTTATTGCTTTGTTCAGTCAAAAAGTTTCATGCAATCTTAAGGTTTCTTGTACGTGCTGCTTCCCTCAAAGAGAGTTTTTTGGTTTTGATTTTTTTTTTTTCACGCTAAAAGAAACAGTAATGCCACAGCATGGATGCTAACAGTCACATTGTTGAGGGCTGGGGTCCAGCCATGGCTCTTGGATTACTTGAATGTTGCTTCTCTCCTATCTTCTTGGAACATTTTGTCATTTTGCCCACACACTGGGTGGTTGATAGGCAGGTCCGTATTCATCCCTTTGTACTCATACTTGCATTCTGAGTAGGAGGGATCCCACACAGACTAGGTGACAGCAAGTGTCCCATTGTTCACTGTCTGTTGACCCTTTTCTTGTCTCCCTCAACTTCCACTGGGCCACTTTGGAAAGAGACAGCACTCCATGTCAGCAGTCCTATCAATGAACTTATTTGCGGTATTTTGATAATGCTGTGGGCACTAGCATGTGATATTCAACTAACTCCTGTAAAGGTGTGTAAGGGGAGCCCGCTGCATTGCAGAACAGCTTTCCTAGGCCCCTCTGAGTAGAAACAGACTCTTCCAAGAAGACTTAGCCAGAGTTTTAATTGAATAGCCAGGCGTGGGTGATGGATAGTTATTAATAGTCAAAGAGCAATTCCCAGCAGTCAAGCATAAAACAGGGCATAACACTGATTGCTTATTTAGATGCATTAAGAGTCCTACTTACTTATTATAATGACAGAATCAGGAAGGCTGATTAGAGAATAGACTACAGAGCTTTTCTATTTATTTTTGAATATTTTAAATGTCATATGGTTCAAATCCGACTATAAAGATCTCGTCACAAAACATATCTCAAAGCAAAAATAGAAGATGATAAATTATCTGGAAAATAATCCTTTAGGGGAGGATTTTCCCCACTGTTCTTCCAACTTCATCATCATTACTAGACAAATTGGCATCTCTTCCTTCAATTTATGGATGTTGAGAGTAAAACATGCAACATATGTTTTAATTTACCAAGTAAGATTCCTTTTCTTTGTTGGTACCAGAATGTTTTTGAGCTAAACACTCAGCATCCTTTGGCCAGTGTGTTAATTGTGCATTATTCATAGTGAAAGGTTCAAATTTGTTATGCTGCAACTGTTCAGCCCTTGACAAATGACTCTGATAGGTGACACTCATTTTTAAGTAAATAAAGAACAGCAGGAACTGAATTTCTTCTAAAAAAATGTGTAGTACTGGGAGCTTCTTTGGCAAGTTGCTATTTGCCCTCTTACTTTATGTCTTAAAAGTCATGTGCTTTCCAACAGAGCTAATAATCTTTCAGGGGAAGTGTCCTCCTGGGGCTTCCTTAGTAGCCTCCACTCCCATTCCTCCTTTGGCTGGTTGTACTCTTTGGATTTAGTAAACTTTATAGTAACTTCTACCTCATCCTTATAAAATATACTGGATGTTATTTTCAGGGTAAAAGATTCGTATAGGCTATCATTTATTCTTTTAACAAATATTTATTGAGCACTTTTATGGGCTAGGCAGTATTCTTGGTGCTAGCAGTGTAAAGATAACATCTTCACTTGGAGTATGCACAAAGATTTAGTATGTCAGTTGTGCTGAGATGCCAAATCCCCAAAGGGAGGAGAAGGAAATAGGTTGGAAAGGTGGTAGATATGGTAGATATTGCAGGGAACACTGAATGCTAGACAAAAGTTTTTGCATTCTATCCCTTGATGGCTTTTTGTGCAATGGAAATAAATAACCAGATATGTCCTTAAGGAAGCTTACTTAACATAAGAGCAGTATGTTTAATGCATTGGAGAGGGGAAAGACTAGAAACTAGTTCACTTAGAACTTTATAGTTGTCCAGGTGAATGAAATTGACCTAAATTGAGACGGAGTAAGTGGAATCAGAAGGAAGAATGAGTGCAAGATATATCGCAGAATAGACAAGAGAGAAAGGGAGTAAACTTTTAAATGAAATCAGAACCTGAGAGACAAGGAATATGCTGTACTTCATCTGAAGGGAACGTGCATTCTGTTTCAAAATGTTGAATTTGCAGAGTCTGAAGGTTCTGTTCACATAGAAGACAATTAGAAATGCAGGCTGGCCTCTTGTATGGGGCTCAGCGGACTCTTTAGATGCAGGACTCAGTCCGGTAATGGTGATGGAGCCCCAGCTGCAATGGATGAGAGAGTAGATAGAGAAGACAGTGGCACAAAACCTTGGAGAACAGGCACACCAATGTCACAGAGTGCATGAGAACCAGGATCATTTGGTGTCACAGAAACCAAAAGGAGGAGAAGTCCCAAATTCTGCTATGACATCTGGACATGGAGACTGAAAAAAGAGAAAGGTTATTGAATTTGAAAAGTTATTGGTGACTTTTGAGAGGGCTCTGTTGGAATTGTAGGGATAAAAATTAAAATGCAAGAAAGAATAAGGCATTTATTAAAATGTAACTTAGGTTGCCATTTGAAAAAACAAAAACAAAGGAGTACTAGACAGTATATTGCAGAAAACAACATAAAATGAAATGCCACAACCTGAAAACTAACCAGGTAGCTCTCAGATGTGAAAACTACTGATTTATACAAAATGAGAGATTGATTTTGCATTCTAAATGAATCATGCTGGGCCCACAGAATACAATGGAATATGGGCTTAAACATAGGGCATAAAAACCTGATGTGTGGTTCTTGCTATAGCATTGCTTGTATAATAACATACAAGAATAAATTCTCAGGGAATTCAATGTAATATAAAAAGTAGCTTAGGCTCCCCTGTAGTGTTAGAGAGATTAAGTATGTGATGTGAAAATAAACGTGCTTCAGTCATCTGGGTTACCAGCAATGATCCTATTTTGTGAATTTGCAGTGAAAAGTGTGTTCTTTCTACTTTATGTTGCTGATTTTTTTCATTTTGAGAGCTAACTTATAAGCAGCTTCCTTCATTACAGTTTTAGTTTTTAAACTTCAACACTGTGAGAATAGTATTAATACTGCGGCCTTAATTAAGGCAAGGCATACCTATAATTTATTCATTTTTGTCTTTCAACACGTTAGTTAGGGAAGTCCCTTTCAAATTCTGTACGGTCTACCGAGAAATCCAAGGCAATATGTGTCCTTTGCCCTCAAGGAACTTCCAGTCCCACAGTCAGAACAGATGGGACAAATTAATACAGTCATCTGTTTTATTCTCTAAGACAGATGTGCATGATTGGAAGGGGACTTAAAATGAGGAAGCTCTAAGTTCTGCTTCAGGACAAGGTCCTCAGGAAAAAGCTTTGTAGAGTTTGTGACACAAAATGAGTCTTGTGTAGTGGATTATTCCTTTTTCTTAAAACAAAACAAAATGCTACATGTAGTCTTTTTCTTTTAATTTAAGTTGTTTTTCTATTTTATGATAGATAAAAATGCAGGATAGAGAGAGGTGAAAATATGAAAGGCAAACTGACATGAAAAACTAGGGAGATAAAAGCTATTCCTTTTTTGTTCTCTTACTTTATATCTTTCTTTGTGGAAGATTATTACAGAAACCTGCCTACTCTCTGTAGTTTTGTATGTATAAAATATTTTATTTAGGCCGGACGCGGTGGCTCACGCCTGTAATCCCAGCACTTTTGGGATGCTGAGGCGGGCGGATTACCTAAGGTCAGGAGTTCGAGACCAGCCTGGCTAACATAGTGAAACCCCGTCTCTACTAAAAATACAAAAAATTAGCCGGGCGTGGTAGCGGGTGCCTGCAGTCCCAGCTACTCGGGAGGCTGAGGCAGGAGAATGGCGTGAACCCGGGAGGCGGAGCTTGCAGTGAGTCGAGATCGCGCCACTGCACTCCAGCCTGGGCGACAGAGCGAGACTCCGTCTCAAAAAAAAAAAAAAAAAAAAAAAAAAAAAAAATTTATTTAGTGTAAAAGTTATTGGTGTTTATGTATTTTGGTCATACTAAATAGCAGTTAAAGAAGAAATAAAGCAGTCTGGAATGTATGGAGTAATAAAATTGTTATGCTTCCCTTTAGAAATTTTTTTCATTTTTTAGGCTTTCCTTTTTTAGCCTTTCACAATATCATTTTTTGATATTTAGAAACAACAACTAAACAAACTAATTTACATCAGTAAATCACATTGATCACTATTATGGAGTTAAAAATATCAGACATTTTTAAACCAGACTTAGGCAAATACTTAGATTTGTTTCTCAGAAGGTCCTGAAATAGATGAATGCTTCTTTGTTTGGAAGTCCTATTAAATTTTCATTACAATATCAGATTTTTAAAGCTGCTTGTGCCCTTTACAAAGTTTTATTTTAGAAATGGCTGTATCAAACTTACTTTATATGCTACAGTTTTCATAAATATCCTTCTCTCATCATATTATATTTCTCATCTAATAATATTTAATGAGATTCTTTTTAGGAAAAAGGAGCATTATTTTGTTCAAAATATCAGTTTCTATTAACTATTGGGTATTAGGCTTAGTACCTGGGTGATGAAATAATCTGTACAACAAACCCCCATGCCAGTAGTTTACCTATATAACAAACCTGCAAATGTAACCACGAACCTAAAATAAAAGTTTTTTAAAAAAGAAAAAAAGGTGAAAAGGCAACCCACAGAATAGGGGAAGATATTTGCAAATCATATATCCCGCAAGGCATGCGTATCTAGAATATAAAAAGAACTCTTACAACTCAGAAATAAAAAGACAAACCAATTTTAAAATGGTCAAAAGATCTGAATAGACATTTCTCTACAGAAGATAAACAAATGGCCAATAAGCATTTAAAAAGATGCTCAGTTTCATTAGTAATCAGGAAAATGCACATGAAAACCCCAATGAAATACTACCTCACATGCATGAGGACGGCTGTAATAAAAAAGCCAGATCGTAACAAATGTTGGTGAGGATATGGAACCCTCATACATGCTGATGGGACTGTAAATGGTACAGCCTCTTTGGAAAACAGTCTGGCAGCCTCTCAAATAATTAAAGATCAAGTTTACCAAATGACCAGTAATTCCACTTTAGTCTATACCTAAGAGAAATGAAAACATATGTCTATGCAAAAACTTGTACAGAAATGTTCATAGCAGGATTATTTTTAACAGCTAACCAGTATAAACAGCTCAGATGTCCATCAGCTGATGAATGGATGAAGAAAATTTGTATTTGCATACAATGGAATAGTACTCAGCTATGAAATTGAATGTAGTACTGATACAGGCTACAACATGGATGAATCTTGAAACGTTATGCTAGTCATAAAAGACCACATAGTATATGATTCTATTTATATGAAATGTACAGAAAAGACAAATCTGTAGAGATAGAAAAGAGATTAGTGGGCTACGCGCGGTGGCTCACACCTGTAATCCCAGCACTTTTGGGATGCTGAGGCGGGCGGATTACCTAAGGTCAGGAGTTCGAGACCAGCCTGGCTAACATAGTGAAACCCCATCTCTACTAAAAATACAAAAATTAGCCGGGCGTGGTGGCACATGCCTGTAATCCCAGCTGCTCAGAAGGCTGAGGCAGGAGAACTGCTTGAGCCCGGGAGATGGAGTTTGCAGTGAGCCAAGACTGTGCCACTGCATTCCAGCCTGGCCGACAGAATGAGACTCTGTCTCAAAAAAAAAAATAAAAGAAAAAACAAAATAGATTAGTGATTGCCCATGGCTGGGTTGGGGGTGGAGATGGGTTTAGGGGTTGATAGCTAAAGGGTATGGGTTTTCTTTTTGAGGAGATAAAAGTGTTCTAAAATTTACTGTGGTGATGGTTGCACATATCTATGAATATACTAATTATCATTCAGTTGTACACTCTAAATGGATAAACTGTATGGTATGTGAATTACATAGAAATAAAGCTGTTACCAAAAAACACACCAAAATATCAGTTTCCGAAAAAATAGTATAGTTTAGTTAGATCAGTTTGGGTTCATTACTAATGTTTATTAAATATTTCAACTGTAAAAAATGAAAGCAACTGGAATTAATATTCTATCTAATCTAAAGATATTTTCTATAATTTTTGTATATCCCTTGCCCTTTTTTCTGAATAGATGATCTAGAGCACTTTTTTTGATATGAGGTAAAAAACTGTAGTGGGTGATAGAGTATTGAAAGCTGAGCCATGATGGTATATTAGATTGGAAAGACCTTGTACATTGTTCCGGTCAAGCATAAAACATACATTAATCAATTCATACGTGTGAGGCAGAGGAGATGCACAGTAAATTATGATGGTATCTTGGGGGAAATATTGACCATGCATGAAATGCTTCTGAATTCTCCCAGTGACCCTACTCGCCAGCAATGTGACCTTGCGCAGGTTATTTATTCTCTGAAACTTTTTGTTACCTGTTCAATGTGGATACTACTACTCTTCCCAGAACTTTTATGAGGATCAAATTAGATAAGTATATTATGCATCTAGCACAATGCTTGGCGTATCATATGAGCTCAGTAATTTAAGAGAGTTGATTGCAACAACTGAAGTGGGAGATAGCTGAAAATAGAACAGTTTCACTGAGGGTGGAAAGGAAGGAATATATCTAGAAAATTTTCATAAAATTTAGGTGGCAAAATCTAATTATGTACAATTGTGAAAGAATAGTAATAAATAGGAAGCCGTTTAAGTCTGATATATCTAAATAACATAAAAAACAGAGGGCTCCCATGTAATACTCATTAGAACCCCGGGTTCAACATCTTTTGATAATTACATAAAAAATATCACTGCTCATCATTGTTCTTAAGGTAATTAGTGAATTATGTATTTTAAAATTAATCCTATATGTTGGGTTATTTAGGTGAGAAAAATAGAGGAGTTGTTGGAAAAGAACTTGTCAATTTTTACAGTAGAACACTTTGGGTAAGGGTATCACAGACTTACGGAGTCCTACAGGTGATTTATCCCTTGCTTCTTATGTAATTTAATATTTTTTTCTATTAGGATTAACCTTCTTAGGTAAATATTGTATTACTGTATTTATTATTATTATATTTTTAAAATCCATGGAGAAACAGTTTAGTATAACGGTTAAGACCAAAGACTCTAGAGCCAGACTTCCTAACTCTACTACTTAATAATTAGTTAAGAAATTATTTAACTTCACTATGCCTCAGTTTTCTTATCTATAAAATGGGAATAACAGGAGTACCTATCATATAAATTGAGGTAAGGATTACAAGAGTGATTAATATCTATAATAGCACAGTACCTGGCACATGGCTTATGCTACGTGTTGTTAATGGTGGTGTGTGGTGGGGGTAATGATAACGACAGCTCAATTTGGTGATGACAGTTTGCAAACAGAAGTTGGCACAGCCCAATTCCTTGAGTAAAGCACTCAACTGATATTAGTATAAACACCTCTATACTGACTGGAAAGAAAGCCATTGACTCACTTCCTGTTTCCATTACTTTTGTAATCTGAGTTTAAATTACGTATCAATGGTTGCTATTCCATATTGCCCCTGTAGTCTCTAATTATTTCAGTAGATATGATGAATTTCTCAAAACAGCACCAGTTTTAACTCGCTTGAACTCTTAGAAATGTAAATAAATAAGACTTTTCAGGAAGACTGGAAGCCTGTGACACAAAAATGTGCTTATCAGCTCCAGAATGCTGGAAAACTACTCTAAATGGATAGATTTTTTTTTCTTAAGTTTTGCAGTGAAGAGATTCAATTTTCTCAGCTGCTGCCTCCTATAAGCCAGAATTAGCTCCTTTTATTGTGTGCACTTTTTAGCTATCTGAGCTTGAATTTATTCTAGCTCTTATTATAGGTGTTTGTATATCTCTGTGTACATACTGAAATCCTCACCTGGATAAGGGCGATGTGTTATTTTTCAGCTTTTCATCTCAGGACTTAGCACAGTACCTAGCCCATAAAATGACAACATTTTTTGTTGTTGAATAAACGAATGTATGACTCAATTCAGAAGGATTGCTCAAATGGCTATAAAAAATTTTCAGTTAATACTAAACACTATGCTACACAGTTAAACTGGATTGATTAATGGTAAATAGTGTAGAATATTCTTCAATAGAACAATGAGAGCATTCAGCTGTCCAGCTGGAAATCTGTCTGGACACTGAAAACAAATGGAAATCTTGGGGAGAAAAAAAATTCACCTAAAAGATTGGTGAAGCTTTACTTTAGTTCAGTCTGAATCTTGGGATTATTATGAAACTGTATTTCAGAATGATCTGTCTTATTTAACACCATTCTTTCACTCCCCTTCTGAAAAAGCACAGTAACCTAGATCATCAATCTGTTTCCAGAAGCATCAGCAGAAATTGTAAGATTCTTCTGACCACAAGACTCTGTAGGCTTGCCAGTGAAAACATGGATTTTTTTTCCTTGCCTTTTGCACTTGGCATTCCATGTAGTAAGCAGAAACAAATATCAGGATTCAAAGGCTCTCTAGGCTACTCTTTCCCCAGAACTCACATTCAGAAATGCATCTTTGGAAGCCAGTGTGCTGTAGCTGCTAATCATACCAGGAAGGTGTTCAGGATTACAAGGGCAAGTAGGAAGTCTGCCCAGGCTGCGGATTTGCAGGCACTTCACAGTGTTGCTACTTCTGTCACAACACAGTCCATGCTAGATTTCTGCCTTGCAATTCATCTAGTTTTTCCCCTATGGATTTTAACATTTCACCTAGAAATAACTTTCCTGCATATTATAAGACCTATTTAAACATTTGGATGGGCTTTTGTGTAAATAGTGTCTTTTTTTCTATATTCCATTTTAATAAATGTGTATTCTTAATCTGATGCCAGAAAGAGCTGTGAAAAGCAGCTTTATGGTAAATATTGTTTAAACATGCTTTTCTAAACTTTTATTTTTTGAGAAAAGCCTGCATGACAGTTTTGGTGATGCAAATGCTATATGTCATTTATTTTATTTAGTTTAAAGAAAAATGCAGACTTGAGAGTATCTGGCGATTTATGATAGATAACCTCAAAAATTATATAAAGTACTGCTGAAATTCACATGGTTAACTTAATTACACTGTGGTAAATACTCAGAGGGAGCATCATAAGTATCGGAGGCTACTTTTAAATAGAACCAAGATCCCTGACTCTTATTTAAAAAGCAAAGCAAAACAAAAACCTTCAACACATTCTAGGAAATGAGTTATGGGTGATGTTATTCCAGTGTTGTTTTGAGTTTAGGAAGTTATAGGAAAATTAGCAGAAAATTAGAGTTTAATAGAGAAACCCAGGCACTGCAAAAATCTTCTTAAAAGACAAACAAGTCAAGAGGCTATCTGGACAGACCCGGATAATGGGTGACATTGTAAGAGCAGCCGAGAAAAGATAAGAAAACACCCCTACTACTACGAACAGACCACTTCTATCCTCTCTCCATCCCCAAAATTATCCTTTATGGGTGATGGCCAAAGAATTGAATACCTATATTTCAAACTACTCTGAATGTGAACATTTCTGTCACCCAAAAAGCAGCGAGTAGGGAGATGACCCTTGTCAGAGTTATAAATGACCTCCTCACATTGTGGAGAAATTTTACTTTCTCCTGCAGTCTTATCCTTCGGCACTTGATCTTAGTACAGCTTTCAACACCATCTATTATGACATAGCTTGAAAATGCTTGAGGGTGTTTGCCTTTCTGTCTGTTTCCATTTTAAAATAGTTTCATTCTTACCCTTCAGACGGTTGACATCATGTATCCATGGCTGCCCATTGCTCTGGGGCTAAAATGTTTGAAGCTGGTGTTCATTGGGCTTCTAATACACACTCATAGCTATTTAAAATTTTTAGTCTGCCTTTAGGCCTAGTACCTGCTAGACAGAATAGTGACTGTCAGTGTTAGCTGAAGAAAGTAATGTTTAAAATAATGTTGCCGCTTTTGTTCCTTAGCAGGAGTGTTGGGGGCGGGGGGGTGGTGGTGGGAAGAGGCAATAGATGGAAGGCTAGTTTTGTTTTTATTAGCATTATGGAAATAGAGATCTGAAAGAAATTCCACAAGCTGATAGTTTATCCCATGTTCCCTAGAGCAGTGCTTGGTCTTGTGCTTAAGTATTGCTGTATAGATATGGATTCCACAATCTCTCATTTTCTACTGTTTCCATTCTAAAAGTTTATTGTTTTTAAAAATTTTCCTTTGTATGACTTTAATGCGTCCTGCTTTGGTTTTCCATTTTCATTTAGCCCATGGTGGTCACTTATCAAACCCTTTACTTATTGTTTGGTGTTGTGCCAATTAGCTTTTCTGATGATTTGCTTTAAACACAGCAAGAGCAATCATTGCAGGACCCTTTACTGCAGAGGTCCCCAGTCCCTTCAAAGTTCGGGTATCGGTCCATGGCCTCTTAGAAACTGGGCCTCACAGCAAAGGAGGTGAGCAGCAGGCAGGCAAGCCAGTGAAGCCTAATCTGTATTTGTAGCCACTCTCCATTGCTTGCATTACTGCCTGAGCGCCACCTCCTGTCAAATCAGCAATGGCATTAGATTCTCATAGGAGCATGAATCCTATTGTGAACTGTGCATGTGAGGGATCTAGGTTGTGCGTTCCTTATGAGAATCTAATGCCTGATGATCTGTCACTGTTTCCCATCACCCCCAGATGGGACCATCTAGTTGCAGGAAAACAAGCTTAGGGCTCCCACTGATTCTACATTATGGCGAGTTGTATAATTATTTTGTTATCTATCACCATATAATAAAGTGCACAATAAATGTAATGTTTTTGAATCATCCCCAAACCACCCCTGGCCACTGGGTCCATGGAAAAATTCTCTTCTACAAAACCAGTCTCTGGTACCAAAAAGGTTGGGACCACTGCTCTACTGTACTTACTAGTGTAGCAGATATTCTTATTAGGAATCACATGCAAAGTGTTCTTCATTGTTGTCTCAGGAATCAGCAGAACACCAGGGTTAGCACATAAAAAGCACTCGATAAGTGATAAATTGATTAATACATTAATAAGCTACTAGGGTTAATAAAAGTTGAAAGTGGGACAAAGAACAAATTCCCTCTTAAAGAGAGAGTTAATTTTACTGTGAAGCACAAAGCAGATATTGCTGATATAGTTTAAAACACCTAAAAAATCATATTCATATGACCCTTCAGAATTCTGATGAGTGTAGATATATAGTTGTTCCTTGGTGTCAGTGGGAAACAGGTTCCAGGACCTCCCATGGATACCAAAATCCATGGATGCTCAAGTTTCTGATACAAAATGGAGTAATATTTGCATATAAGCTATGCATATTCTCCCTTACACATTAAATCATCTCTAGATTACTTATAATACCTAATACAACATAAGTGCTATGTAAATAATTGTTATACTATACTGTTTAGGGAATAATGATAAAAAAGAAAAGTCTGCACATGTTCACTACAGATGCAATTTTTTTCCCAAATATTTTCTATCTGTGGTTGGTTGAATCTGCGATACAGAATGCATGGATACTGAGGGTTGACTGTATTTATTGTTAATGCTTAAACATTTGAAATATGCATTGTCAGTTAGAATTCTCAGGAAACACTCGATGTTTTGGTATTTATGTGGGCTTTTAAGTGCATACATAAGATCGTATAGATTGTTAATTTGGCTAAGTCTGTGTGGACTATATGGTGGGTAAAATATACACAGGAAGTGAAAGGCATAAAATTCTTAATATATTTTTATTACATATTGTGTTAACTTTTTTCCTTTGGGGCTACATTTTTTCAATGTTAATAGATGTCTTTGAGAAAGAAAGTATAATCTAAAAGTGTGTACTCTCCCAAAATTTTGTGAGAAGATCTAATAGGTTAAAAAATAAAGTTTTAATATACTTTGATATTTCATCTATTTTGTCATTCTATTTTATTCATATCACATAATAGCAATTCTTATGATCATTTCCCCCTTCAAACGTGACTCTAGTCATGTCTTGTCTTTAATTCCAAGTATATAGAATAACTTAAAATTTCTTCTCTGTTTGTATATACATCTAGCTCTATTAATAAAACACTTCCAATTTTAAAGTATATGTATTTAGATAACTAATTTAGTAATTATTTTATTATAATAGGAAAGAAAGTGCCTACATATCACTTGAAAATTATTTAAAAGAACAAAATAATGAGACTAACAGTGATATTCTGTTCTGGTGTTAAAACTTCCACCATAGATTCTAGCAACTCAGAAAATGCTGATGTTTCCTGGATTTTGAATTGGTACTTAACTGTCATATTCTCATCATAAAACTGTGAGATGATGTCATCTGGGGAATATTATCTGCTTTTAGAGGACTTGTGTTACTGAGAAACTTAATAACCTATTTTGGTGAAATTACCTTTTCTTTGTTGTTTTGCTTCTTTGTTAGGGATACATGCAATACAGAGCTCACCTAACTTTAGCATTGTGTTTTGGGGGACCTATTTTGTGTACAAATGTGTGAGTTTATGTTACCAATTCTTAAGTCATGCGCATACTTCTTACAATCTTATTAAGAAACTTTATGCTTTTCTGGTGTCTGAGTGGTATCAATGGCACTCTAGTAACTAAAAATTTGCTAAAACAAGCTTAGTTTTCTTAAATGAAACATCTATGATTTTCTTAGCTGTATGATTCCATTGAATGCCTAAATGGTGGCACTATTATAAATGAGTAAATCATTTAATCATATTCTCATAATTAATGAGAATAATACACAGAACTCCCTTCGGATAGTATGTTAATTTCATTACTTAAACTAAGTCACATCATCAGGAATCCAACTGCCTATATAAATTTCATACTGTTTAAGGAGCTTGGGAGAACTCTTTGGATTATATACATTAGCTAACCCTGTTTAACATTTCATATAATTTGGCATATGAATGAATGTTGTACATTTCATTTTCTACGACAATGGGAATTTTTAAGAGTAGTTGCTTATTCTTTCTTCAAAGCAAAGAAAGCCAATAATACTCTCAGGTGGGGGGACTAGAATTGTTTATTTTTTCTGGTGCCATTTTGATTTATTTCTCAACTAGTCCAAACAGCAACACAAACATTGAGTCTGCCTGAATCAAGGGTCCCCAGTCCTTGGGCCACTGACCAGTCCTGCTCCTTGGCCTGTTAGGAACTGGGCTGCACAGCAGAAGGCAATCAGTGGGTGAGTGAACATTACTACCTGAGCCCCACCTCCTGTCACATCAGTGGTGGCATTAGATTCTTATAGGAGCGGGAATCCTACTGTGGAACTGCACATGTGAGGGATCTAGGTTGCATGCTCCTTACGAGAATCTAATGCCTGATGATCTGAGGTGGAACAGTTTGATCCGAAAACCACAGCCACCCACCCTTGTCAAAAAATTGTCTTCCACGAAACTGGTCCCTGGTGCCAAAAAGGTTGGGGACCACTGGCCTAAATAATCTACATCTTTTTGTGGGTTGAATGATTAGAGTCTGGGCAAAAGGACATTGTTTTTGTTTTTCTATTTATTAAACTGTTATTTTTAGTTGTGGCCTTGTGTCATGGAAATGACATTGAGAAATTAGTAGAATCCAACTAGTGAAATGCCAAAAAATTAGTAGACAGAAATAGTGAAATTAGTAGAATTTGGCAAAATAATAGAGACCTGAAGATATGATCTATGAGTAGATATTAAATGCAGTGTTTTCAGCCTCTAAGGAAAGCAGCCAGGAAAGATATGATAGCATCTCAAAGTATGTAAATTATTGCTACAATGAGTAGAGGAACATTGATTATCAGTAGACCACACAAACAGATGAAGCTACAATATCCCAAAGGATACATTTTGTTGTGCTTCAGAGATAAACCTTAAATATCTAGCAATCTGAAATGTTATATTATTAAGCCAAAATCCCAGGGGGCACTTATTAAAGAAGATCTGCAGCGATTGTGTTATTATTTTTGAGTAAATACACACCAGGTGGAGGAGCCAGCTCAAAGGATGAACATGAGTTTTGTCCTTTTGGAAATCTCTGGTCTAATGGATCTGTACATTCTCATGATGCCCATCATGGAGGTTATTTCTAGAGGTATTTCCAAATCCTAGAGTGATTTTAAAGGAAGATTAGCAGCCAAAGTTACATTCAGGATTTGAAAGGTGTTTGAAGTGCTCATTTATTCTGAGGTAAGAGGCCAAGGTCTTGGTTTCTCTCCCTCCACCATGCCTCCCCTCCTGACAACCACCAAACACCCATGCACATGCGCCCCTCCCCCACACACACATACACATGCACACACACATTATCAGTATCAGAGGTTCTGAAATAGGCCAGATTGTGTGTATAACAGTATAGTGATCCCATCTGGAAACTGAAGGAATAATGGTAAATCTGTCCTCAGAGAAAAGTCTCAACCTGATAAAACCTGATTTCAGGGACCAGCCCAGAACACAGTGGAGGAATGGAATAAGCCATTAAATCCCACACTGTGCTGCAGAGTCAGGGCAACTCATGTTGGAGGTTGG